>NC_000002.12:29506624-29659374 GCF_000001405.40 Homo sapiens
AGTCCCAGCTCCTCAGGAGGCTGAGGCAGGAGAATGGTGTGAACCCAGGAGGCAGAGCTTGCGGTGAGCCGAGATTGTGCCACTGCCCTCCAGCCTGGGTGACGGAGCAAGACTCCGTCTCAAAAACAAAACAAAAAAAAAAAGTTAAGCAGGATTTGGATGGGGTAAAGAAGACCGAAACAGTGTTTTGGGTGGGACACTGGGGAATGACCCAGCTTGTAACTGACAAAGACACTTAAAGGAAGAGGTGAAAATATCAGTGAGGATGTAGAGACATTGGAATCCTTGTGCACTGCTGGTAGGAATGTAAAATGATGCAGCCACTATGGAAACATCATGGTAACTCCTTAGAAAATTAAAAGCCAAATTACCGTAGGATCCAGCAATTCCACTTCTAGGTATATATCCAAGAAAAGGGAAAGCAGGGTCTTGAAGAGGTATTTGCACAACCATGATTATAGCAGCATTATTCACAATAGTCAAATGTTGAAAGCAACTCAAGTCTCCATTGACAGATGAATGAATAAACCAAATGTGGTATATACATACAATGGAATATTATTCAGCATTAAAAAAGGAAGAAAACTCTGACACACGTTACAATATGAATGAACCTTGAGCACATTATGCTAAGTGAAATGTCAATCACAAAACGACAAATACCATCGAATTCTACATTTTTGAGGTACCTAGAGTAGTCAAATTCATATAGACAGAAAGTATAGTGGTGGTTGCCTGGGGTTGGAGGTAGGGGGAAGTGGGGAACTATTGTTTATTGGGTACACAGTTTCAGTTTGGGATGATGAAAAGGTTCTAGAGATAGATGGTGGTGATAGTTGCAAAGCAATGTGAATGTACTTTAACACTATTGAACTGTACATTTAAAGATGATTAAGATGGTAAATTTTATGTGCATTTTACCACTGTTAAATAATTAAAAATGGAAAAAACTAAGAGGCAGAAATGACTTCCAGGCCAGGCCCAAATCAGGAGGAGCAGGGTTTGACTAAAATTAACATTTCTATGGCCTCTGTGCTCAGGATAGCACCTGGGGTTTAGGAGGGATTAGGATGCAATAATGAGTTGAACACAAACAAATCTAGAGAAGCAAGAACTTCCTAGAATAGGAGCAGGAAAGGCAGGACAAGCTGACTGAGTCCTGACTTAAGATGGCCCTCATGGTACAGAGAGGGGCCATGATGTCAATGAGTTGATGTATCTGAAGGCCTGTTCACCAAACCACCTACTGATCATAATCAGTTATCTTGGCCCCCAGCGTGGCTCTGCCGGCAGTCAGAGAATGCACTGATTGGTCAAGGAGTGAATTCACACCAATCACTGTATGTTTTATTGGACATTTCAAAATCCTATTCATGACTTACATGTCTTGCGTGAGTGTGGTTAGCCTGAGTCCTGAGCATGTTTGGCCCCACCAAACTGAGGGTCTGATCTAGAACTTGGGGAGTGCACTGAGAAACTGCCACCCTACAGGGTCTGGCTGGCTTTCTTGAGAGGCTTTTCCACCGTCACTGATCTGATGTTCAAGGCAAGCAGAAAGTACACGTGGACCCTCTGAAACTGTTCTGGCCTCTAGCTTCAGTTAACATCTGCATGTGGACACCCAACGCATTTCCTTTCTGACTCCTGCTACTGAAAGTGGTCTGTTCAGAGCAGTATAGGCGTCAGCTTGTTAGAAATGCAGAAAATGTGGCACATATACACCATGGAATACTATGCAGCCATAAAAAATGATGAGTTCATGTCCTTTGTAGGGACATGGATGAAGCTGGAAACCATCATTCTCAGCAAACTATCGCAGGGACAAAAAACCAAACACCGCGTGTTCTCACTCATAGGTGGGAATTGAACAATGAGAACACATGGACACCAGAAGGGGAACATCACACACTGGTGCCTGTCATGGGGTGTGGGGAGCGGGAAGGGATAGCATTAGGAGATATACCTAATGTTAAATGATGAGTTAATGGGTGCAGCACACCAACATGGCACATGTATACATACGTAACTAACCTGCATGTTGTGCACATGTACCCTAAAACTTAGAGTATAATAAAAAAAAAACCCAAAAAAATCCCATATCTGCAACTCAAAAAAAAAAAAAAAAAAAAAAAAAGAAATCCAGACTTCCAGCCCATCCCTGACCTATTGAATCAGAACATGCATTTTACTAGATCCCCAGGTGATTCACAGGCACAACAAATGCTGAGAAGTTCTGCTTAAGCCATCTAATTCAGCGTCTCCCAAGCGTGCCCAGTCATGGAGATCATCAAGGTGTGCATTATTAAAAAGATGCCCAGGCTCCTTTCTTGGTGATTCTAATTCAGTGTGTATTTTTATTTTAATAGAAAGGGAAAAAGAAATGGATGTGAGTAGCGTGTGCAGGTATGCCCATCTGTGGACGGAGGGGAACAGTGATACATAAGCCCTGCTATGAGAAGACCAGGTGCCCATGGTCATGTGTGGAGGCTTTTCTGTCATGGAAACTTCTAGAGGGAAAAGAGAGTCAATTTTGTAAATGTTTATAAGCAACTTGTAGTAAATTTGGGGACACTCAACATTTAAATAACAATTCTAGCTTTGACCTTTTTCAGCATTATTGATTTCGGCTTCATCTCTCACAGAAGCATCCTCAACACATCCCTGGTTTCCCCTGATAGATTAAAAGAAGCTTATTTTTCAAAAATGTAGCTGAGATAGAAAGGCTTAAGGAGAACAGGGGTTCCTTCAACCATGGAGAAGGCTGTTTTAAGAGTAAATTAGATCAGCGAAAGCTTTCTGTACTTGCTTGTACAATCCCTTTCAGTCCCTCCTTCTCTCATGCTTTTCAGTGAATATTAAGTCTGAAATCTGGAAGAAAAGAGCCTTTCTACCTTCCAGGCAACTATCTCTCTCTGAGTCCTCATGAATCCTAGGAACTTTTATACTTTTATTCATGAATGAATCCTTACCTCCTCTGCCAACTGCTTCATCAAAGAACCATGACTCACCCTAAGTTATGCAAAAATCAAAGACACATAGTTGGAATCTATATTTCTTAACATGTCTCTCTTCTTTTATTCCAATTTATTTCTAATGGAATGCCTTTTACAACAACTAAAATAACCTTTTAGATATGCAATTATAGTGCAGACTTTGGGGACACTGGAGAACCAGAAAGAATAAAGGTAGGGTTGGGGAGAAGCATTTAAAAAGAGAAAGAGAGCTAGAGAGGGGGCTTTATTTACAAGGCAATCGAAAGGTAGTTTTTAGGTTTAGCAATTGTGATCTGTTTGTGGTTCAGGTTTGGGACTTGGCACTTTGTAAGAAGAAGAATGACCACCCAGTGGCTTTAGTTACCACTCTCTAGTCCAGGATTGCCTATGGGATCATGGGTGTAAAGGAAGCTTGACACTGGGTTTGGGCCAAGGTGGCCAGTGGAGGTGGCCACAGTCCCTGACATTCTTGTGGCTTCTCTCACAGGGAAGGAGAAGAAATCCTAGAAGAAGTAAAAAGGCTGCTGGGTAAGCAGAGAGGAGGAAGCTGACTCCATTTCTTTCATCCCACCCAGGCAGTGACACAAAACCTGTGGCTCCTTTAATTCCTTCATCTGGTCTGGCAAGTATGAAATGTCCCTAGCAATTGGCATTCTTAAGTCCCCTTAAGAGTCCCTGATGGCAGGTGTTTGCTATTTTAAATCATAAAAATAATAGTTGAAGGAATTAATCAATGAATAAACCAATATTTGTTTAGCATCTTGCAATGGTGGGCCAACAAAGCATAAAACATGGCCCCAAAATAGAAGAAGCTTGTTTCTACAATGATTATGAATAGGCTCAGTTCATCTTTTTTGGGAAGTTGCTTAATTTCCTTGAGCCTTAGTTTTATTTGCTGTAAATGGAAATTAATAGTATTTACTTCATAGGCTGCTATAAGTATTTATTGTGTACAATAATTATAATATGTTTGCAGCAAAAAGAAATCAATAACTAATAGTGAAACAACAGTCTCTTTGGGGAAACCAGAAACACCTATACAAAACAATTTGCAAACAAAGAGAGTATTGGATGTTTATAGACTGAGGAAACAGAGTATGGTTGAACAACTTCCAGGTATTACCTGATCAGGTGGGACACTGGAGTTTTATTTTGTGGTCTAGACAGTTTTACAGAGTTGAGAGAGGAAGAGAACAGAGTGGGCTGATGTTTTCTGAGAAGTCTTCATGAGGAAGGTGATTCGTGAATCAGAGGCCCAGGAATACCACTCATGTTCTCTAGCTGTGTCTGCACTGTGCAAGGCAGACTGAAGGGTAGGTAAGGCTAAATAAGTGGGCTCTGATCCTTTGCCTCTCTGCTCTGCCACCATCTCTCTCACTAGCCCTTCACCCTTACACTCAATGCACTTGTCTGTACATACATGTATCACTTCCTCATCTCCTTTTCACTAATTTTACTCTCACCTCTTTTTTCTAGGTATTTTTACAAAATGTCAGCTTTATTGAGGCAAAACTTATGTGCAATAAATGGTATCCATTTAAAGTGTACAGGTTGATGAGTTTTAATAGTTGTTACACTGAGAAACCACAACTACATTCCAAATATAGAACATTTCCATCATCTCCAACCCTCTCTCTACCTTCCAAAAAGTTATCTTGTCCCTTTGCAGTCAATCCTGCCCTGCTTCCTGGGGAACCACTGCCTTGCTCTCTGTCATTAGAGATTAGTAGATTAGTTTGCATTTTCTGGAATTACATATAAATGGAAGCACAAACTATGTGGTCTTTGTGCCTGGCTTCTTTCTCTTAGCATAATAATTTTGAGATTCATCCATGTTATCATATATATCAGTATTTTATTTATTTTTATTGTTGGATAGTGTTCCATAGTATAGATAAACCACAATTTCTTTATCTATTCACCTGTTGATACACATTTGGGTGCAGTTTTAAACTACTGTGAATAATGCTGCTCTTAATTTTAATGCATAAAGTTTTGTGGGGACATACGTTTTCATCCTCTTGAGTAAATGTCCAGACAGGGAGTAGAATGGCTGGGTTGTATGGTAGGCATATGTCTAGTTTTTAAAGAAATGTTCCAATTGTTTTTCCAAAGTGATTATACCATGTTGTATTCTCACCAGTAGTATATGAAAGTTCTAGTTCCTTTATATCCTTAACAACACTTGGTATGGTTAGTCTTTCTAATTTTAGCTATTGTAATTTTACTAATGACTAGCGATGTTGAGCATCTTTTCATATGTTTCATGGCCATTTGTATATCTTCTTTAGTGTAACGTCTATTAAAATATTTTGCCCACTTAATTGGGTGGGTACAAGTTCTTTTCAGATGTAAGTATAGCTAATATTTTCTCCCACACTGTGGCTTGTATTTTGATTTTTCAAATGGAATCTTTTGAATATTTAAAAGTTTTAAATTTTGATAAATTCCTATTGATCAATATTTTGTTTTATAGTTTATGCTTTTTGTATGCTATCTAAAAAAGTTTTTTCTTACCCAAGTCTGCAATAATTTTCTCTTATGTTTTATTCCAGAAATGTTATAATAGCTTTAGATTTTGTTTAGGTCTAGACCAATATCCTTGATGAACATTGATGCAAAAATCCTCAATAAAATACTGGCAAACCGAATCCAGCAGCACATCAAAAAGCTTATCCACCATGATCAAGTGGGCTTCATCCCTGGGATGCAAGGCTGGTTCAATATACGCAAATCAATAAATGTAATCCAGCATATAAACAGAGCCAAAGACAAAAACCACATGATTATCTCAATAGATGCAGAAAAGGCCTTTGACAAAATTCAACAAGACTTCATGCTAAAAACTCTCAATAAATTAGGAATTGATGGGACGTATCTCAAAATAATAAGAGCTATCTATGACAAACCCACAGCCAATATCATACTGAATGGGCAAAAACTGGAAGCATTCCCTTTGAAAACTGGCACAAGACAGGGATGCCCTCTCTCACCACTCCTATTCAACATAGTGTTGGAAGTTCTGGCCAGGGCAATTAGGCAGGTGAAGGAAATAAAGGGTATTCAATTAGGAAAAGAGGAAGTCAAATTGTCCCTGTTTGCAGACGACATGATTGTATATCTAGAAAACCCCACTGTCTCAGCCCAAAATCTCCTTAAGCTGATAAGCAACTTCAGCAAAGTCTCAGGATACAAAATCAATGTACAAAAATCACAAGCATTCTTACACACCAACAACAGACAAACAGAGAGCCAAATCATGAGTGAACTCCCATTCACAATTGCTTCAAAGAGAATAAAAATACCTAGGAATCCACCTTACAAGGGACGTGAAGGACCTCTTCAAGGAGAACTACAAACCACTGCTCAATGAAATAAAAGAGGATGCAAACAAATGGAAGAACATTCCATGCTCATGGGTAGGAAGAATCAATATCGTGAAAATGGCCATACTGCCCAAGGTAATTTATAGATTCAATGCCGTCCCCATCAAGCTACCAATGACTTTCTTCACATAATTGGAAAAAACTACTTTAAAGTTCATACGGAACCAAAAAAGAGCCCACATCGCCAAGTCAATCCTAAGCCAAAAGAACAAAGTTGGAGGCATCACACTACCTGACTTCAACTATACTACAAGGCTACAGTAACCAAAACAGCATGGTACTGGTACCAAAACAGAGATATAGATCAATGGAACAGAACAGAGCCCTCAGAAATAATGCCGCATATCTACAACTATCTGATCTTTGACAAACCTGAGAAAAACAAGCAATGGGGAAAGGATTCCCTATTTAATAAATGGTGCTGGGAAAACTGGCTAGCCATATGTAGAAAGCTGAAACTGGATCCCTTCCTTACACCTTATACAAAAATCAATTCAAGATGGATTAAAGACTTAAACGTTAGACCTAAAACCATAAAAACCCTAGAAGAAAACCTAGGCATTACCATTCAGGACTTAGGCACGGGCAAGGACTTCATGTCTAAAACACCAAAAGCAATGGCAACAAAAGACAAAATTGACAAATGGGATCTAATTAAACTAAACAGCTTCTGCACAGCAAAAGAAACTACCATCAGAGTGAACAGGCAACCCACAAAATGGGAGAAAATTTTCACAACCTACTCATCTGACAAAGGGCTAATATCCAGAATCTACAATGAACTCAAACAAATTTACAAGAAAAAAACAAACAACCCCATCAAAAAGTGGGCAAAGGAAATGAACAGACACTTCTCAAAAGAAGACATTTATGCAGCCAAAAAACACATGAAAAAATGCTCACCATCACTGGCCATCAGAGAAATGCAAATCAAAACCACAATGAGATACCATCTCACACCAGTTAGAATGGCAATCATTAAAAAGTTAGGAAACAACAGGTGCTGGAGAGGATGTGGAGAAACAGGAACACTTTTACACTGTTGGTGAGACTGTAAACTAGTTCAACCATTGTGGAAGTCAGTGTGGCGATTCCTCAGGGATCTAGAACTAGAAATACCATTTGACCCAGCCATCCCATTACTGGGTATATATCCAAAGGACTATAAATCATGCTGCTATAAAGACACATGCACACGTATGTTTATTGTGGCACTATTCACAATAGCAAAGACTTGGAACCAACCCAAATGTCCAACAATGATAGACTGGATTAAGAAAATGTGGCACATATACACCATGGAATACTATGCAGCCATAAAAAATGATGAGTTCATGTCCTTTGTAGGGACATGGATGAAATTGGAAATCATCATTCTCAGTAAACTATCGCAAGAACAAAAAACCAAACACCGCATATTCTCACTCATAGGTGGGAATTGAACAATGAGAATTTCCTAGACCTTTTAATACACTCCCAGGGCTTGAAGACTACTCCTGCATGCCAACAACTCCTGGTTTTTGGAGTTTGGAAAGATGGTCCACATCTTTCCTCCAAACTCCAGACCCTTGTGTCCACATGCGTTTCCTCTTGGATGTTTATAAGTTTCAAAAAACTCAACATCTCAAAACTGAAGTTTGTACTTTTCTCTCCACACATGTGCCTCCGTCATTTTTGCCTGTTTTGGTGAATGGCTCTGTCTACCCAGTTGGTCAAGCTAAAAATATCTTCTCCTCTTTCCCACCTGTATCCAACCCATCACTAATCCTGCCCATTGTCTCTTGTACATATCTGCAAGTCATTCACTTTTCTCTATGCCTCACTCTGTATTCAGGACTACCCTCCCTTTCCTTGTGGTGCTGCAAAGGTCTGGGGTTCCCATACCCATCCCTACCCTACCTCCAACTGACTTGCAGTTCCATCCTTAAACTCTACATCAGCTTTCCTTGGCTTTGAAGATAAGGATTATGATCCTAAATATTCCTGATCAGTCCTCTGCCTGTCCTTTCCCCTGGCCTTCTCTCCAGCCAGTCTCCTCTTTTCTTTCAGACTCAGATGCATGTTTTCCCTGATTTCCTAAAAAATATCCTACCTCTTTCCCTTCAGGTCCTTCATATGCTGTTCCCACTCCCAGAAAGGGTCTTGCTACTTGTCACTTCTACTCATCTTTCACACTTGAGTTCAAATGCCACCTCCTGGGGGAAGGCTCCCCTGAGCCCCTGGCCTAGCTCAGGTCCCTACTTGCAAGAGCTCCTGCAAGCCTGTACCCCTCTGTCATGTATCACTGTGGCAATGACATAATTATACATATAATTGTAATGTAGTATATATTTCACTCTCTAGCATGTGAGCTTCCTGAGGATAGTGACTGTTTCTGCTTGTCCCCTGTTCTATTTTCACCATCTAGCTAATTTCCCTGCACATAATAGAGGAATTCGTATTGAAATAAGTATTTAATGACTGAATGGATGAATGAGTGAATGAAGGCAAAGAGATGGGTAATCCTGGATAGGATGAAGGGTAGGGGTGATCCATGGGGTAAGACCTCACCAAGATGGTAGGGGTGGGGATAGGGGGAGGCATAATGGGATCATGTGGTTGTGGGAAACACTTTTGTAGATGTCCTTTTTGAATTGGAAATCAATAAACAATTTTCTTTCCCCAATCATGTAGCAGACTATCAATTATAGCAAAACTGGTGGGACTTAACATTACTCTCATCAAAATCAACCTGTAACCAACTTTAGAAGCATACGGTAAAATAGTTTCAGCACGGAAGATGCAGATGTAACTAAATTCTTATCACACTAGCTTCCTGTTTAGAAACAATTAAGTATAGGCATCAAAAGGCACAGGCAAGAGGGGAAAGTTCAATTAGAGGAAGATGTTTTCATAAGCCAATTAGAAAACAGGGAGATATTTTCACCCTTCCTCTGGAGATTTTGGAAATCCTATTTACACAGCTGTGAAAGGCCAGCTCAAGCTTGGCCGAGTGGGCTAAGGTGAGTTCTGGGTCCAGTGACCTGGGTGAGGGCTCTGACAGTGACAGTGCTGGAGTCGGGTCTGTGTTCAGAGTGAGCTCCTGCAGGGCAGCAGAATGCATGCAGACTCAGTCACCCTCATCTTGCCTCAGTTTACCTAAGAATACATTATGTACATGTCTCTCCTCTTAGTGGTTCATTACCCAATTTTACCTATGAATAGAATGAAACAACTCCTCTGCTAAGTGCACTGTTGGGGTTTGGTGGGAGTATAGATCAGACACTGCCTTTAGTCCCCCACACCTGTCCTGAAACAGGGCACAGCATGAAACATCTCTCCAGCTTGCAATGGTTCTGCTCTCAGTTTTCCCATACAGATACCATATGTGGTGAGGCTTTGCCTAGGATCCTGCCTCCCAGGTCCTAGTGGTAGCTGAACGAAGGGGGTCCACTGGGTAGGTGGTGGAGATGCTGTTCCATCTGGTACATGTCGGGGAGATGGTCTCTTCTCACGGGTACTTTTCCCTGTGCATCTGGCATGTCACCTGCCAGGGCCACTGTGAAGTCCCCTGCTAAGGGGGAGGAATAGTGGGGAGCCACCTCTCTACATCTCTTCTGGAGGGGTCACATCATATAGTGCAGTGGTGTCTGTGGGATCAAATCCCAACTCTGTTCATTACTAGCTGTGTGACTGAACAAGTTCAGTCTCTTCATTTGTGAAATGGGGATAATAATATGTTACCTCACAGGCCCATTGTGAAAATTAAATGGGTAAAGATAGGTAAAGGCATTTAGAACAATGTCCAGCATATAGTAAGTGCTATAAACGTGGTAGCTGTTGTTATTTGACAGCAATGAGCTGGGTTAGCAGTGAGTATGTTAGCAGTGAGTATGTCTTGTTTTCTATCTCTGGTCAGGGATGCTACTGTTTCAGGCCTGCCTGGCACAAAATACATCAGATATCCTTATCATCATCTACTTTCACTCACACATTCGCATGACACTAATTTTGAGTTTTAATTTGGAAATACTGCCCAGTCAACAAAAATTTATTGAATACTTCTTCTGTGTCAGGCACTCTTTTGGACTTTGGGGACCCCACAATGAAAGTTCAGTGTATGTTTTGATGAAGTTGAGGCTGTAGTGGAAAAAATGGATAGAAACACACACAGCCAGTGAATTTCCATGGGACTGGGGCTGTCACATACAGAGAGGTTTAGGGGCAGCACAGAGAGAAGTGACCCTCAGGAACGGGGAGTCCAGGTTAATCTCCCCCAGAAGGTGCCATCCTTACGTTGCTGATAATCATACATCTCAGAGCTTCAAGATCTTCATTATACAACTGTCATTTTATTTCTCTTGTGTATCTAGTGGGTCATTATATCTCTGAACATATATTAAAATAGACGGAATAGATTCAAGCAGCTTTTACTGGGGCACTGTGCTAAGAGCTTTCATCCACATTAAATCATTTAACCAATCCTCTATGAGGACGTCCAGATTTCTTCAGAAACCAGGATGCCAGATAGAATAATTTTTTGATGGATGGAGTCCATTACCAGTTTAGGCCATGAGCCCAGGTGATTGAAAAAGCATTAATCAGGCTATTGTCCTGGTGTTGCCACTCTCTCCAATTTTTAAACCTCCTGCTACTAATGGAGATATTATCTGACTCTCCTGATGATAAAAGAATTATCTCATCAAATCACCACATGATTATCAGGATTGCAGCCTTGCTTTTTCACCAGTTCCAGAACATCACTTAATTTTTAAACTACAGCGTTGGCTGGTGTCCTTTGTGTTTTTGTGTATGCTTTGTTTTACCTCCAAAGACTTCTGGCCGTATGATTTGTATTTAAAGCTAGATGTCAAGTGTGTGCATGGTGTGTGACAGACAGAGAAGGAGAACCTCGCCTCCCCTTCATCTCCTCCTTCACCTGTCTTTACTTCACTCTGAGACCACCAAGTCAAACTCCGTTTGTAAATTTACTTCCCAAATCTGAGCTCTTAGAAGTTCTCACCTAGTTCAAGCCCTCCCTGGAGATATGGAGAATAAAACAGGGTTGGTGGTGGGCTGTAGGGCTCCCCAGTTCCCTTCTGTGCAGTCCAATAGCAGAGAATGAGTCAGAATAGGCATGAGGCAGTCTCTCTGGCATGAACTCCAGGCCCATTTTAAATAACGCATCTAAATGTTAATGCACACTTAAGACAACAGTGCAGCTCATACTCTTCCCAAATTGATTCATTTTGCAGTGGGCCTGATGCAATTTACTCAGTATAAAAATGTCTCTGGCAATTAGGGGAACAAAGGGGCAAAGCTGGCAGGCTACAGGGATGACAAACAAAGCAAGATGATGTGAAAGCTGGGGCCAGAATTGAATTTCTTTCCGAATCAGACATTTTT
Organism: Homo sapiens; assembly: GCF_000001405.40. Lineage (NCBI taxonomy): Eukaryota > Metazoa > Chordata > Mammalia > Primates > Hominidae > Homo > Homo sapiens. Next base: position 29,518,389 of record NC_000002.12, read on the forward strand.
GGGAATGTCAATAGCAAACAAGAAAGGCCTTCTTTGCCTGCAAGAAAAACTTGAGGATTCTCCATTCAGAAAAAAGAATCAAATAGTCTAAGAAATGGTTTTAGTGAAATGCTACAGCAGCTTTCATGGTTCCTAACGGTGTCAACTTTAGGTGGCTGGGGTTCAAACGCAGAATAAAGCTAGCGAAAGGGTGAGCCAGGCTTAAGCCACATCAGCGGGTGGAGGTTCCAGATCACTGAAGAACAAGTCCCCTGACCCCTTTGCTGGTAAGAATCCCTCTGAACAATATGGCTGTGGCAACTATGCTGTAGAAGAGACTAAAATCACTTAGCCTGGGAAAACAAGTGAAGAAGAGATATAAAAACTATCCTCAAAGGGAAGACAGACTGCCTTGTTAGGAGAAAGTAAGCTTCCTCTGTATGACTCTAGAGGACAAATAGAGGATCAACCAGATCATGGTGAAATAGGAGAAGGAACTATCATGTGTTGGGTGCTGATATGATTCTAGGTGCTTTGTATGCATTATCATAGTACTACTTCATAGGGAAACTGTAGTATTAAATGAAATCATATGTCTTTGTATTAAGAACATGGTAAATACTCTATACACATTGGCTATCGTTGTTAAAAGCATTATTTTCACAAAGAGCCTACAAGGTAAGCAGGTATTACTATTGCCATTTTGTGTATAAAACACAAGAGGTTTGGAGATATTGAATAACTTTTTAGAGACAGTCATTACCTTTCCAAAGTTACAAAGCCAAGGGGATATCAGCAAGTTCTACCTGGGAGCTAAAGCTGCTGTACAATGGGGTGATCTGTTTTGCAAGGTGGTGAGCATTCTACTGCTGGAGTCAGGCAAGTCAAAGCCAGATGGGCTTTGGAAGAGCCTCTTGCATTGTTTTGGGGTAGGGGATAAAGAATTTGAATTCAATTACTTTTAAGGTTCATTTCTGGTTCATGATTCCATGATTGAAATATTTTTCAAGTTCTGCTAGCTAGATTATGCCTTTAACCCACAAACAGTCATGTAGGATTGTGAAATTGGAGAGGCAGTCATGGGTGAAGGCCAAGAACTAAGGACCTTGGGTATATGATGAAATACAGGAGTTTTTATTTCCATCTGATTTCTGGCTTTGCCAACAACCACATTTTCTGGCTCACATCCCACACACAATGTACCTGCTGCCACCACCTCCTGGAACCCTGGAGACTGTCCGTAAGTTAGACAAGGTGGCAGAGGTTAAACAAGAAAGTTGATAGACAAGTGAGGCTTTTTAGAAATGGAAGTCATCTGGATCTACTGAGAGGATGAGCCAATGGTCACTAGGAAGCTCCCAGGGCAGGTGACCAGGCCACTGCGAGAAAGGCTGGAAGACTCCAGATAGGGAAATCACTCTGAGGCCTGCAGGTGAACATCCAGCAGACTGCCGATTAGAATTTCATGCAGTCACAGAGAAATTTTAGTCCTAAGACAGAGAAACAAAATCATGGAGGGAATATTTAGGAAACAGTTGGACAGAATGTAATTGGAATTCATCTTAGATTATCTGAAAAGATAAAACACTCAACAGAAGTCAGTGTGGTTAAGTGGTGATGTAAAGACTAGTAAACTAAGGAGAAGGAGGAATTGGGGGAAAATTACTAAGTAGAAGTCCTGACTGGAAGAACAGGAAATATGCAGGAAATAGCTCAGGAAATTAGAGGAACTAAAAGGCACACACGGACAGGGCAATCACCAAGCATGGGAACCACCTCATTTCCAAGACTAACATAGGCCAGCATTTGCTCGGCAGTGTAGGATGGTTAAGGCCACAAATGGAGATAACCCAGGCTGAAGACAGTCCTTCGATTGGAGGTTGAGTAGAAGGAAGTGAGTCGTTATGAAGAACAGAGATGGAATTTTGGTCAAGAGCATTATAGATGCATTCTTAAAACCATGTCGCAAGTTTTCAAAGAGTTTCTGGTCCAATTAATTTGGGAATTTGTTCATTTCATAAGCATTTATTGACTGTGAGACAAGTACTGTGCTAGGCATTGCAGATACAGTGATAAATAATGCCCATCCCTATTCTTGGGGTACCTGGTTGGTGAGGAAGACATGTGAAAGAACAAATGTGGCCCAGGGCTGTGAGAACACTCATAGAGATGTGGAACAGGCAGCAAATGGTGGTGCAATCAGCTCTGCTCACAGAAGGTCTGGGGTCTCAAGAAAGGCTTTGTGGAAAAGGAGCTAAGAGATTCCTTCTTGGAGGAGAAGACCTATTGTTCTTGATGGTCGGGAAGGTGAGGGAAGGCAAAATGGCTTGAACTGGCTTGCTTCACTTGGGGGCAACTGTGGGTAGTTTGATACAAACGAATCATGGGTCCAGAGAAATGGGGTGAGCCAGGCTCAGGAGGGGTGAGGCTTGATCAGTGGCTTTGAGTGCCATACTAATAAACAGCTCAGACTTGATCCTGGGTTTCACAGGGATCCCCTAAAGGATTTGAGGCTGAAGATTAACAGCCCGTGATATTCACTTGTCAGTTCTCTCATCCGGGTCTTCATTTATTCCAACATGGGGCTTCCTGATGGCCAGGAGAAGTCACTGAGATGATCATTCTAGGACTGCAAGGAACGTCCCACAGAATGAACAGCACAATGCAAAATACCAATTTGACTGTGGGTTCTCCTTCACACTCCTTTTGGTGAATTGAAAGCCTGGATCACACAGTGGGGCTAAGAAAAAAGCAGCATGGCCCACAGGTCTTTCCTTAGACTCCCATTATGTGTGCATCATTTGAGCTAAGTTGCCCTATAGGGTGGAGCAAGGTCCTGGATCCTCAGGTAACCTGGTGCCCTCAGGTGAGTGATCTGAAGAAACATCTTCAGCTTCTGGCAATGGTAGGTCTCATGCCCTGGGCTCAGCCTGCTCTCAGTGGCCTCCCCTAGGGACCCTCCCTTTTCTCACCACCACAAGACTTCCCCACTGGCAGGGGGAACACAATCAGTCATTGGAAAGGAGTGGGAACACTCATTCACTGAGCTTACTGATGTAAGATTCTCCCAGGAATAGACATTGCACCAAATCTTTGTGTAGACTTTGTGAAGCCCTTTAAATTCAAAATCCCAAGGCTGCTATGGCTCTTCACTAAGGCTCTGAACCATAAGAGAATGCATTTCTGTAAAAGCAAGGAGTTTAGCCAGGCATATGTGTGTCGTTCCCTAAATAAAACAAAGAGGAAAAGGCAAACTTAGAAACAGGCCAAGTAATGAGAAAGAAGGAGGTTTGCTTTGAGGCTGGGCATGAATGCAGAGGGGAACTGGGCTACTAAGTGGGTCATGGTGTTTCCTCACTCTTGGGCCATCAGCTCCAGTTGCCTGGACAGTTTCCTTATGGCTCAAAGAGCTGGCAATTCCATCACCCGATTCCATCTCCTCAATGCAGACTTGGTTTTTGAAGGTGAAGGCAACTGGGTTGGAATGGAGCTTCAGAAGACAGGAGAGCGGAGGCCAGCCTTTCTGGATAGGCTCTCTATGACCTTCGGCAGTGCCAGACATAAGTCTCAGGACTGCCTGCTCTCTAAAACAGGCCTCTTCTGTGCATCAAAGCCTTATAACTTTGCCATTTATTGCGGACAGGAAGGACTGTATGCACACCATAGAAAAATGCAGCTGGGATTTATAAACAATAAATAATGGTTAATAATGATAAATAAATAAGACTGCATCCTTAATTATCAGCTGGCAATAGGGTAGTTACCATCCATAGAGTGGTGATTGGGAGCAGGGACAGTGGAGCTGGATTAGCTGGGCTCAGATCCAGTCTACTCCTTACAAGCTGTGCAACTCTAGGCAGGTTACTTAACCTCACTGAGCCTCAGCTTCCCCACTGTAAAAGTAGTAGTGCTAGGGCCTCCCTCACCAAGTGGTGGTACACATAATATTAGATGAGCTGACACATGCAAAGCACTTAGAACAATGCTGAGACCAGAGAGTAAGCATCAAGTGATTCTTCCTCTTTCTCTTCCTCATTATCATACAAATTACGGGGAATGAAGGAAGGGACGTGAATTCCTATCTGGGATGCCAGGTCCTGTCCCGTCCCCAGCCAGCAGCCTCATTCTCTCCCTGTCTTTCATGTGTTGGCACTTATGAGTCAACAGGGAGAGGACCCTGGGTCCCTGTTGACTGTAGGGAGAGACAAGCTGGTAACTGAATGGTCACAAGGCTACATGGTCAATGCTATTTGAGAAACCCTAAAAGGGCTTCTCAGAGGAGGGGACATTGCATGTGTAGGGGTTTTTGTAGTGGAAAAGGGGTTAAGGGCAGTCCACAAAGAACCCCCACCCCATCTCCATGGCTACTCTTCTTGCAAAGTGGGGACTGAAGGGACAACAGGCCATTCCTGGAGTCCTGGCTCATCCACTGAAACCCACTTGTGCTGGTGTAAAAAATAGTTGTATGCACAGATTGTCCATATAGGTACTTGGAGTTTTCGTTAGGGAAGAAGATACTACCAGAGAGAAAGTGAAAGCGAGGGGAGAGCCTGCACTCAGAGGGAGGTCTTCTGGGCATTTGCAGCAGGACATTTGCTACAAGAAGAGGTAGTGGTGATTGTGGGGCTTAGGGATGAGGCTTTGCTGTCTGAGGACTGCTTTTGTGGAGAGGGATGGGCTTTCTTGCTACATAAGCCAGTGGCCACAAACACATGAAAGTGAGCACTCAGAGAGCCAGGATAAGGAACCCCGGGCAGGAGGGGGAGGAAGAAACCAAGAGAATCACGTGGCCACAGCTCATCATCTGTGTCCTCAGGCGGTCCTTTGCACACGTGCACTCTCTGTGTGGAATGTCTTCCTCTCATCATCCACCTGACACCCCTTGCCCCTGCAGAGCCAGCTCAAGTGTCCTTCTCAGGGCTAGCTTGCCTGACAGCCACAAGCATTCCCATAGCACCCAATGCACAGCACCCATTACACCCCTTTCCTTATGGCCTCATAACTGTGTCTGTCGTCCAACTCCAAACCTTGTTCTGAGCCCCTGGAAGGCTGAATGAGCTTCCAGAGTCCAACCAGTGCCTGGGACTGAGCATGACTCATAGACATTTGTTGACAGAATGCATACATGAACTATGAGTGAATTTCTTGACACCAGTGTTCTATCACTAAAATTCTTGCACCTATTTTTACCATCTCCCTCCCCACTGGGAAACAGTGAGGCTCAGTAAACACTTCTGAGATGAGAAGTGTCTGTTTCTATGCATTTTGACTTCTCTTTGTATACAATATATATTTATCATTATGGGATTGGCCAAGATGCCATTCTGACAAGCACGGGGTTACAGGTATTCACAGTTCTCTCATCGTCCTGGTGTTCAATCCATCAAACATCCAGGGCAGAGTGAGAAAGCAAAAGCAGCAGCTCAAAAGAGCCTCACTACAAGCCTTCAGCTGTCAAATCTCGAAGGTCAGAACTGGCAGAAGCTGAAGGTTTTTTTTTTTTTTTTTTTTTTTTTTTTTTTTTATGCCCATCAATGAAAGCAATCGTGAGTAAAAGTTGTACCTGCCAGGAAAGGAATTGTCCTTTGTACTTCATGACAACCTTCACAGTTGAGGTGCATTTTGACAGCTGCTTCCTGAGCCCCAGGGAGGGTTGCACATTTATTCCTGGGTGTGGGTGGAGGGCAGGGAGAAAATACTTTTCATCTTTTCATCGATTGGAGACTCTTCTGTGATCTTGAACGGGGCTTTAATTTTTAGACCCAGAGCTTAGGCTTTAGAAGAGGTGCATCCTAGAACTAGCTTCAATTGATATGTTATCCATCCACCTAATATAGAACCCCTACTATGTGCTAGGCAGTGTGCCAGACATTGCTAGCATAAAAAGGTGTGCAACCCAAAGTCTCCATCTTCAAGACTTGTGGGCCAGAATTAGATGACCAAATTTCAGAGGAGTCCTCCTGAGAAGAGCTTTTCCTGACTGGATAAGAACAGCTCTTAGTTTCCTCGGAGCCAGGCGTGACGCCAAGGTTCAACTGCAAGGCTTTCTTGGGAAAACAACACAAGAAAAGAAATGGACCCAGAAGATCTGTTTCCCTGTGTTACCCATGACTATAAGCAAATTATGGAAGCTCTCTGAGATTCGGTTTACTCTTCTATAAAGGAGGTGAATAATATGAATGGTACAGATCATAGTAAAGGTGAAATGAGTTGATAGAGGTTGACTCACTTGGCAAACTGAACATGCACTGTACAGATATTTACCATGAATATTAACAACATAGTATCTGTTTCATGAGAACAAAAAGGAGGGCTGTGGCTCTGTTGTTAACCTGGGACCTAGATGAGAGTCAATATGTGAAGTACAAAGAGAATGGATGGATGGGTGGATGGATGGATCAATGGATGATAGATGGATTAATGGATGAATGGATTGATGGATGGATGGATGGATGGATGAATGGATGGATGGTAGATGGATGAGTGGATGGATGGATGGATGGATGAACGGATGGATGGATGGGTAGATGGATGGATGGATAGGTGGGTAGATGGGATGTATGGATGGATAATGGATAGATGGTTGGTGGATGAATGGATGGATGGATGGTTAGTTAAATGGAAGAATGGGATGGAGCTTCCTTCTGGCTTTAAGAGGTTTGGCTTCTCTAGTCCATCTGTATTCTTCTCATTCCCCTGTGGCTTTGGAAGCCATAGTCCTTCTAGAGACAGAATAACAGATGTGTCAGGAGTATATCCACCTGTGGAGACCAGTGACATTCATGACCTTGGATACCCTCCAGCTACCTCAGCTCAGGGACTATGTAGGCAGGATTAGGCCAGGGTTGGAAACCTTGTCACTAGCCTGTCCACCCATAAGTGGGAGAAAAATGGCTCTCCACCTTAAACACAAGTCCCTCCCAAGTCTTTAAGCTTTCTTTTTTACTTTTCTTCCTAGTGCTTAGTAAATGGTTATATAAAGCTACCCGCTTATGTGATCAACCAATTCAAGCTGAGATGTTAGAGCCATGATTCTTAACTTTTGGTGCACACCCAGAATCCCTGCAGAGCTTTCTAAACATACATATGCTCATGGCCCACTCCAAGACGAGTAAAATCAGAATAGCTCAAGATGAGACTCGGGCCGGGTGCGGTGGCTCATGCCTGTAATCCCAGCACTTTGGGAGGCTGAGGTGGGTGGATCACAAGGTCAGGAGTTTGAGACCAGCCTGGCCAAGATGGTAAAACCCTGTCTCTACTAAAAATACAAAAATTAGCCAGGTGTGGTGGTGGGGGCCTGTAATCCCAGCTACTCAGGAGGCTGAGGCAGGAAAATCACTTGAACCCAGGAGACGGAGGCTGGCAGTGAGCTGAGATCACGCCACTACACTCCAGCCTGGGTGACAAGAGCAAGACTCCATCTCAAAAAAAAAAAAAAAAAAAAAAAAGATGAGACTCAATTGTATGAAGTTTGTAAAATGTGTAGTTCTCACTTGTATTACTAAAGCTTGAGACCTACTATGTTAATCGCTGAAGGTCCAGTTCCTCTTAAGAGGACTAGCATTTTAGTAGTTGCTTCAATATTACTACTTAAAGTGGGGAGGAATATGGTAAATCCAGGTATACTCAATGGGACTGGTACTTTGGGATCTATCTTGGAGAACACAAGTGGTTACTCTGAGAAGGAGGGGTTTAAGTGAAATCTGTAACCCTGGCTCTCTTCCTGCCCACTCTCCCATGACCCTGAGCAGCCTGAGAGGAGAGTGTCCCTTAGACAGACAGCCTGGGAGGCAGGGGGTTAGGCACTATCAGCACCTGCTCTGCTTGTTGATCTAATTTAAACCCACGACAACCCCGTGAGTGGCACAATTACTACCATTTGACAAAGATGAGGCTTGTAGAGATTCTGAGACTTGTCCAAGCTCATATTGTGTGTGAAGAATTTCCTCCAAGAATACTTAGAGCTCAAGTCTCCTGCCCACTGTGTGCTCAGAGAACTTCGAGCTACGTGATTGCTCCTGTAACAAGGTGTCTGAGAAATATCCCCCTGACAAGCCTGGGTGTGAGTTTTAAGGCTTTTAAAAATTACCTTTAGAGCCTTTGAATGGCTCTCTCTTTTTAGTGTAAATCACCTAGACATTAAAGGCCTTATTGTATATTTATTAGTGTGTTATTCAGACCATGGGGGAAAAGAGAGAAGCTGACTCTATGAATGACTTTGAAAGTGAGAAAAAGCTGGGCCTGAAATCATTGTGACACTGCCACTTGAGGGCATCAGTTTCAATAAATGATCACCTTTTTTATTTCTGATCTCATTTATCATGCAGGCAAGATTCGAAGAGAACTTTTGACCATGGAGGCTGAATGCCACAGGCTCTGATTTCCTCAGCTGTCAAGACTTGCCACATTGCACTGGGCTGACTGAAGTTCAACCCAGAGCAGCCTGGGAAAAGCAATCAGGTCCCTTTTCAGAAGCAAATACCTGGTGGCATCTTTCCACAGGTGCCCTGCCCTGAGACCATCTCTCGCTTGGCCTGTCTACTGACAGGAACAGCCAGGGTTCTGTGCATTAGTGGTGAAGGTATCAGTGGGCCAGTAGGGAGGTTCCTCTTTGTCCAGGGAGCAGGAGTCTGGGGTGGGGAGAATTACTTCCTGCTGCCCTAGTCCTGGATGGCATCTGAGGATAGGTTGCTGGCATTGCCAGGACAGAAGAGGGGAGCAGAGGGCAACCAGAGCTTCCACTTTAGAAGGTAAGAAGCTACGGCTGGGCAATACTGTGGTTGTCCATAACCATGCTGCAAATTAGCGGTGGAATCAGGATTGAAACCATACCTCCTGATGGCCACAAATCAATATCTTTTTGAGTTAAATTACCTTGGCACATTTCCTATTAGGATTGCTACTGGTTTTAAAGCTGGGATCTTTGGTCAGAACTGACTGCCTTAAGTAAGCGCGGCAGCTGTGTGGGTACCCAGCATGAATGCAAATTTTTCTTCACTTGGGGAGGGTGGCTGCAGATTTTAATCTAAGGGCAGTGAGTTTGAGGGTTTCCTGATGCAGCTGGGCAGCTGGGAAACAGACCTTTCCAGGGTGCCACTGTGGAGATGAGTCCTGGCTTTGCCACGAGCAGGCAGTTTTGTTTCTTAGTTTGTTTTTTTGAGACAGGGTCTTGCTCTGTCACCCAGGCTGGAGTGCAGTGGCATGATCACAGTTTACTGCAGCCTCAACCTCTTGGGCTCAAGCAAGCCTCCTGCCTCAGCCTCATGAATAGCTGGGATTACAGGCATGTACCACCATGCCTGGCTAACTAAAAATATATTTTTTTTGTAGAGGTTGGGGGTCTCGCTATGTTGCCCAGGCTGGTCTTGAACTCCTGGCCCCAAGTGATCCTCCCGCCTTGGTCTCCCAAAGTGCTGGGATTACAGGTGTGAGCCATTGTGCCGGGTCTGAGCCTGCAGTTTGACCTTCATCACGTCACATTACATCACATCACCCGCCTGGGCTTCATGTTCCCCATCAGGAAACCAACATGGAAAGGGGAGGAGGTTAGACTCCCGTATCTTCCGGGTCTAGGGGTTGAGGTCCTGCAGAAAGGCAAGGCTTTGTGCTGAGAATTTCAATTCACCACCACCCTCTGGACTGAGGCTTATTTGTGCTTTAAAATGCCCTGACAGCTTATCTTGGCTCAAGCCTGAGTTTCCTCAACGACTTCCGGTTTAAAATATCTTTTCAAGTATTAGTAATCCAAATGATTGGCAACTTCTATCCCCTTGAGGCCCAATTCTTCCCTCCACACACTGTGTAGTTCTGGTCATACATAATAAAGTCCCCAGATACCCGCTGCTGTGGGAAAAAGTCATGTGCTTCGAAAGGAAACAAGACACGAGGTGGCCTTCTGGGTAGGAGCCCTGGAGAGTGTCTCCTATAGCCCTACACGCCACCCACCATCAAGCTTGCGTTCTTGCATCCGGGAGAGGACCAATTTTACACAGACAATTGCTGCTGGATTGATCTTCTGAGACACATCAGAATGGCAGTGTGGTGCAGTGGGTGGCTCCCTAGCCGGCTGCTTCTGCTGGATCTGCCACTAGCGATCTTAGCTCAGCCTCTTAATAATACGAGCCTCAATTTTAAAACATTCACATAAGCATGTGCTGTTGCTATTCTGCTTGTGTCTTCCTTACTGGACTAGATGTTCCTTGAAAGCTGTGACCTTGTTGTCTTTGGCTGTGTCATCTTTGGCACCTGCCACACAAGAGGCACTCAATCCATGATGGTGAGATGAATGTTTGAACCCAAAAGGACCTAGCACTTATTAGTGCCAATGATAGCCAGGCACTGTGCGAGCCATTTTCCATATGCCATTTCACAGCTCACCATTTTACATAAGTATTATCCTATTCATTCAGTTCATGGGGACTTTATGGCCACTAATTTCTAGCTAAGATGTCCTATGCCTATGTGACTCTGTGATCAGCCGGGCCTAGGCTGTTTGGTAGCCCCTATTTCTCTGCTTCCTTGCTTCTCTGGTCATTCTGGCCATGCAGATGAGCAGGCTGGGCACTCATCTGTCTGTCCCCTGCGAGACTCCAGCCAAAGCCCGGCAGCCTTGGCCAACGTGGCCACTCATGCTCTGTGATTCATTAGACCTCATATACTCTGCTGCTTTCCAGGCAACCAGGAAGGCAGCAGCTGCTGTGCTTCTCCAACTGCCTTTCCCCTGCCTTCTGCCTCCGGGTGCTTCCAACCAGTCTGCTGCTCCTGCCCCACCCGTGCACGACAGCCGGCACCACCTGCTCACGACACAGTGGTTTCCGGGGAACTTGGTGGCGTCTGACTTGTCATTCCTCAGCCCACTCCTCTGAGTCAGGCTCTCCCCAGCCGACTTTATTATTACAACTTCCTCCCTCGTTACTACAAACACGGAATGTTGTTTTCCAAATAGTGGTCCCCAAACCACCGTCTCCTGTTATGAGAGGAAGCCAGCCCCATTCGTAATCATCACATTCAACATCACCAGGATATCACTGTGTCCCCCTCGCTGCTCTGAGCACTATGCTAGTGAGGTCATCTCTGACATTAAACAGAGCAAGCTTTCGGCAAGGCAAACTGCTGAGTACTGCAAATCCAAAGATTCTTGAGACTAGCAGCGACCCCATAATCAGAGAGCAGGCAAATCTCCATCCTTTGTGATCCCAAACTCTGAACAGTGCAAAGCTGGGCAAGTTTTGATTTGCTGGGCAAATGCCCTGTTCCTTGCAGCTGGCCAAGGCACCCACAAGAGTAGCTCTGCGCTGCAGTGGATGGTCCATTGATTGTCCTTTCTGCTGCCACCTTCTACCCTCACCACACAGATCTCATGGGAGGTGAGGAGGCTGGTCCAGGCATCTTTAAATCTGGAATCACTCCAGCTCATCACTAAACTCTGCCCCAGACAAAGCCATCAAGTCACTGAATTTGCCTCAGCTCAGTCCCAATTCCTCTCTCCTGCTCAACTCACACCCTCCAGAGGACAGAGCAGCTCCTCTGGTGATGGAGGCATTGCCTTGGGAAGAGGATAAGTTGGGTGGCCAGGTGGACGTTGAGGCAGGTGACCATGGCATCATGTGGAGGGAAGGCTGCCCCTGAAGGCACTGACATGGCAAGTCCCAGGGCTCATTTGTCTTGAAGGATCAAATAATCAAAATAATCGCTCTTTTTTTTTTTTTTTTTTTTTTGCAAGATTCTTTCATATTTCCCTTTCTCTTTCCCAACTCCACCCTTTCTCCCTAAGAGGCTTCAGGTCTCCTGGAAAGAGTCCAGTTTGGACCACATCACTTCCTATTTCCTCTCTCTGCCTCAGTTTTCTCCTCTTTTAAATGAGAATTGACTTCCTATATGAGCATAGAAAGGTAAAGAGGGAAAAACTATTTGCAAGGCCCTATGGCCAGTCATACCCGAGGAGTTATTTTCCTGACTATGCTACACAGGGAAACAGGCCAGGCCACACAAGAAGTGCTGAAACCCCTCTGGCACCTTTTCTCACACTCATGGGTATTCTCAGACTCCAACTCCACCTCTCCCAGCCACATCAGTGAATCCTCCCACCCGCCACCAGCACCACAATGGACTGATGCCTGAGGGCTCAGAAGCCTCAAGCAGCACTCCCTGGTCTCTGCCAGTCCTGGTAGGGAAGGAAGGAATGTTGAGAGTGATAAGTCAGAATATGCAGCTCTCAGAATATGAGGCTGGGCAAATACCTATAGGATGGCACATAGCCCTGCCCTCAGATAAGAAGTCTTCCCATCCAGGCTTCTTACTGGAAAGAGAAGCCGTGCTGGAGGGAGGCTTGGTGCCAGAAGATAGCTGGTCCCAAACAAGGGGCAGCCCAGACACCTGCTATGCCACACTGATATCTGGTGAATAGAGCAAGAGTCCTTGGTAGCTGGGACCTTCTCAGCCAGCCCAGAGAGGCATTTCAGAGGCAAGAAGATGGATATGAGTTTAGGAATGGGGAGAGCATTCTTTTTGATGTCAAGATTTCATTCCTGATGAGACTGCAGCAGCTTGTAGTCCTTCTAAGTGCAACTAAATACAGATGGGTTAATGGCTGGGAGTGGGGAGAAGACTTTCAAGAAATTACGAAGGAGGCCATTCAGCCTTATTGCCAAAGCAACAGGCAGGATCTCTCCCCTGCACACCATGGGGATGGACAATGGGTAACAGTTATCGTTCAGGTGGGACCCTTCTGAAAAGGTATTCTCTTAGAAGGAAGCCAAGTCTAAGCATAGCTAGACAGTTGGGCTTTTTCTCCTGTAAACAAGTCACAAAGAAGGATCCTTGTTGCTAAAGTAATCAGATCTGGGGTCCCTCAACGCTGAGGTCATAGGATGGTATTTATACTTATGGAATGGAAAAACAAAAGCCAGGCACAGAAGTGCCCTAGTTTAAGTTTGCTTTCCAATGTCACTACCGCAGAGGCCTGATGGATCACTGAGTAAGCAAGTATCTCCAGAAAGCTTAGAGGATTCCACTGTCATATGTCTTGGTGGTTGTAGCACAAAGCTCTGTTCCAATCTCTACTGAATTACATTGGCGTAGTATCCATGACTAATCCTGCTCTGGGGTACCAAACTCCCATAGAACCCGCTTGGATGGCCAAAGTACTTTGTCCTTTCCCTTCCTGCCCAACTTCTGCTGGTAAAACCCAGTTTCTACCATATTAAATTACTTTCATTCTGGCCTTTTAACATTTCTTTGACTGTTTTCTTCTTGGCTGTATCTGAACTTTGGGAAATGAACATCTTTAACACCCACTCATGAAATCCCCACTCTGGCAGCTGGTCCTCTGGCTTCTGGAAGGGCCACTAGCCAGGGAAGTCAGAGGGACCCACAAATCAGTACCCAAGACACTACCTAAGGGATATTAGTAGTAATTGCTCAACCTGGACCTACCGATTAAAGGACAATCATGAGTTTGTAAGTAGATGTCACAGACTCTGGAAATGTGTAACCAAAAGCCAAATCACCTGGTATAAAATCAATTTTGGACATGGAGAAGTACTTACCCATGCTTCCCTGGAGTGGGCATCAGGAGGATCTCTCTTGCAGCCTCGTTGTGGGGCAGCAGCTGGGCAATGTACCTTCCAGAGGGCTGCAGGTGCCTGTGCACCGAGACGGCCAGTGTGCAGTGCTCACTGCTGCTCCTCATCCACGGACTCAGGATGGTGTGCTTGGAGTCAGCTGAGGTGTTGAGAAGGAGAAAGGAGCCTGGAAAGAGACAGGGAAAACGAATCTGCAGATGTGTTCAGGTAAGACCAGCAGTAGCTCTGTGGCAAGACTTAGAGACAAATGGCATCAAAATCAGAGATACTGGAGGCCATTATCTCCTTCTCTGCATGCACCCAGCCTTCTTCCTCCATTCTTAGATTTTCTTTGTAAATAGTATAGCCTGATGCAGGTGGACAGTGGCTGGAGACATAGGCCTTATAATCAGGCAGACCAAGGTTCGAACCTTAGCTCCCCTACTTCCTACTTCTGTGTCCTAGAGCCTTCGATTTTTCATCTGCAAAACAGGAATAAAAACATCTATTTCAAAAGACTCTTGTTCCTTCCCTTACTAGTTGAATGATCTTTGGAAAAGCATTAACTTTCTTAGGTTTCAGTTTCCTCCCTTGTAAAATGGGGTGAGAGGGTTGGCTGAACTCAATAATCTCTTAATGTTCATTTCAGCTCTTGAGCCTATGAGTCATGTGAACTTGCAACTGGTCTCCACAGAAAAAGCCCTACAAATCTCCCCTGTTGTTGTGCCCATGGCAGAGTTTCCCTCTGGAGCAAGCCAATCTTGATTCCAGTAGCACAGGCCAAATGACCTGCGAGAAACCTACATTCATGGGGATTACTGTCAGTGTAAAAGCACACCACCATTATATTGTTCCAGGCATTCCTTCTGATACATTAATTTTACTTGCTCACTTCTGCTTTGAAGTTTTGGGCCATTAGATGCTGCTCCTTTTGCAGTAGAAATCTGTTTCAACAAGATCCCTGACTTCCACAGTGGGAAGCAGCTAATGAGTACTCAGTCTTCTTAAACTACTCCTGGCACTTCCAAGGTCTCCTTCTGCAGATAACCCAGTTTCCCAAATAGGCAAATAAACTAGCAGCCTGCAATAAACAATGGTGCAGATAAAAGAGGGGGATTCCTACCAAGGCAAAGCATTACTCAAAAGGAAGGTGTTGTTCCAGGAATTGGAGGTTTCCAACTTTCTTAAAGTAAGTAAAAGCGACTTCTGGTTAAAATCAGGATGAAGCATAAGACCGTGTCTGAGCTGGATCGAGAACGTGAACCCTCTGTACTTGTTGGGAAGCTTCAGCATGGCATATAAGAAAAGTGATCTACAACTGTCATAAATAATCTACATTATGACAGTATTTTGCAGCAGAGGAAATGTTCTTATCATGGGCACAGAGGAAAAGAAAAGGGATTAGAACCAAAGACAAAGAATTGGGAAGATCATCTAATTCAGTCCTCTTGCTTTCCTAGGGAAGCAGACTGGAGATCCAGATAGGGAAATGACTTGTCCAAAGTCTTAGTTTGAAAGTTAAGACCATACTCCAGATTTCTGGACTTCTAAGCAGTACTCTTCTCCTTGTTTCTTTTTCACTGGCCCACTGTGTACTTCAGCCTAAAACATGGCCAAGGTAACTTGTGGCCAGGATGTATAGCTTTGGAAGTCAGAGGGGCAGGAAGGGGAATGAGAGGCACATGGACACCAGACCAAATCCATTTATTCGGTCCCTTCCTTACTCCTTTCTGCCCTCAGATTCCATTTAATGGATGCCTATTTTGAGCAAACATCCAAGCACTGGCTCTGCCCTGAGGACATAGATGTGACAGACACAGTTGTGGCCTTCAAGGAACTCCAGGTCTGGCAGGGGTGCACAGATGTCTGCAAGAACTATCAGCACAAATAGAGGTCATAAAGTCAGACACACATCCAGGCAAAACATGTTGGGAGCCTTCAGGAAGGAGGAGACAGGAGGTCCAGGTGGGAAGATCCGTAAAGAGGAAGACCCTTGAGCCAGGTCTTACAGGGAGAGAAAAACAAAGATACTGGCAGAATGGACTGTGCAAAAGTTGAAGGGAAGAGGAGTCAGGACAAAGGTAGATGATGTTTGGCTGCAGAGTAGGACACTGGAGAGAAGACTGAGAAATAAGGAGGGCCAGGGAGATAGGAGGTGTAACCAGACCACAGAGAGCATTGCTTCTTGGCTGAAGATTTCCAGCTTCATTTTGTGGATAATAGAGAGCCAGATATTTTGAGCAGGTGAGTGGCACCATCAGAGTGGTGCAGCAGGAGAACTGATCTGTTATGGTGGGGGCAAGAGGGAATTAATATTGACCCAACCTCATCTTGCACCACAAGTCCACACAAGGGCAAGAATGTGACTAAATGCAAATTCGAAGTGTTTGCTATATTACTGTTGTAAGCAAAGGCAATGTGTTGAGGGTGGATGACTGGGGTTTCCAGTACTAGGGTAGTGTGTATCTGTGCAGAGCACGTGAGGACCCTGGAAGTATCTCTGGGGACAGAGTCTTGCTCCAGACTCTTTGGGGGTATGGCCTGGGGTTAGGATGAAGACAGTCCCATGTCCAATAATAATTTACACATAAGGGAGCAGCAGCAACTGTGTCCTGGTCTGAGACCATTCTCTGATGTTCTCAGGTTGGCAGAATGTTGAGTAGAAACCAGGAGTTTTCTGAGCTACTGAAGGGAAGAATGGGGGCAAAATAAAGAAAGTATCTCCATTCTTCTCAGGAAGATTACTGCTATGCACATGTGCACATGCATGAGAAGCTCAAAAATCCAGCTGAAGGTGTTGAGGTATTGGACTAGGGGCTCTTTCTGTGTCACTGCTCCTCTCCACCCTTGGGTGTGGCCATGCATGTAAATTCTGTCCCCGAAATTTGGCACCTCAATAATGGAACCCTTTCAAAGCTGACTGGAAGATTTTTCCAGTTCTAATATGTGAGATGATGTTTATATGAATCTTATTTTCTGCAACCGGACTATCAATAAGCGACTGAGCTTATTTTCACTCTCAATGGAACTCTATAGTTGAGAGCTATCTCTTCATCAGCAGCTTTCCTCTACCAAAAATAAGGGAAAAAATACATTTCATAAGCTCCTTGGGATATTGTCAGTATAAATCTTTTAAAGTCAGTAAGAATTTATCTCTCCTCTCTCTCTTTTTGGTTTCTATTTATTTTGCTCAGGATAGCTTGGGGCTAGGCAAAGTCTCCTGGGGTCCTTTCTAACTAAGAAGGATGGTCTAGCAGCACACAGACCTTCACCCAGTGTGGCCATGGGGGTGTGGAGAGGCAGATCAAAGAGCTCTGCTCATACAGCGCCACAACCATGTTTCTTTTATTATGCATCTTGTTGATATGTTTAATGATTAAATATGAAATGATTTTTATTTTTACCTCTGGTCACCAGTGTAGGAATGTGCTGCTCTCATCTCAACCAGCAGGGCTCACATTATGGGCCAAAACCCAAGGGTCATGAACTTAGAGGTCAAACTCTTTTGTATCTGTTCAGTTATTGACCTTAGACAAATTATTTAAACACTTTAAATATTAATTTGCTCAAATTTAATATGGGCAGAGCCTACCTCATATGGCTGTTGTGAAGATTAAATTAAATAACATGAATCAAGTAGGCAGTACTGTGCCTGCTCAAGGTAGGTATGTAATAAAAATCAGTTCCCTGTGTTGACAGGTGTCTTAGTCTGGAATTCCTTTGATCTAGGACTAAACCTGGAATCAGAAGGACTAAACTGGAGTAGCTCTGCTACTACCAACCTTCCTTGGTAAAATGAAGTGTTGGATACAGTCTCTCTAAGGATTCTTACAGCCCCAAACTGTCAGTAATTCTATCTGCCTGCCTAGAATATTATTAATCTAAAGAAATTGAGTCAAGTCTCCAAGCCCCCAAGTCCTAAACTCTTCTTCTCATAATTCACCTCTCTGAGGGTTATATACCAACAGTTTTAATCGATTGGCCAAATACTCCATGAACTTTCCCGCTAAGATGTAAGGAAGTAAGCTGTGGTTCCCTGCCCTGCCTTCCTCTCTCCCGATTTACACACATACATCCCTAGGAAGGGCTCCTGTACTAGCATCATTTGTTTCTTAGATGCTTCTGCTATAAGGCTGCTACCACCTCTAAATGTCTGGTATGCAACACAATGCTTGCCACATGGTAGGTACTCAATGATCCTAAAAATCAAATTGATATGATGGTAACATGGTGATGTAGTTTGGTTGTGTTTGTTCCTCCAAATCTCATGTTCAAATATGATTCCCAGTGTTGGAGGTGAGGCCTGGTGGGAGGTGACTGGATCATGGGGGCAGATCCCTCATGAATGGTTTAGCTCCATCCCCTTGGTATATGTGAGTTCTTACTCAGTTATGTGAGATCTGGTTATTTAAAAGAGTCTAGGACCTCCCCTCCTTTCTCTCTCGCTCTCACTCTCACCATGTGGCATGCTGGTTCCTTGTTGCCTTCTGCCATGATTGCAAGCTTCCTGAGGCCCTCACTAGAAACAGATGTCATTGCCATGCTTCCAGTACAGCCTGCAGAACCATGAGCCAATTAAATCTCTTTTCTTTATAAATTACCCAGCCTTAGGTATTCCTTTACAGTGACACAAGCATGGACTAATACAGAAAATTGGCACCAATGAGTGGTGTTTTGCTATAAAAATACCTGAAAATATAGAAGTAACTTTGGAACTGAGTAACGGGCAGGGGTTGGAGGAATTTGGGCGGGAGAAGCTCACAAGACAGGAAGACGAGGGAAAGTTTGGAACTTCTTAGAGACTAATTAAATAGTTTTGACCAAAATGCTGATAGAAATATGGACAGTGAAGACAAAGCTAAGGAAGTATCAAATGGAAATAAAAAAGTTATTGAAAACTGGAATAAAGGTAACCTGTGTTACACCTCAGCAAATAATTGGGCTGCATTCATGTTCATGCCTTAGGGATCTGTGGAAGGTTGAACTTAAGAGTGATAACTTAGGGTATGTGGCAGAAGAAATTTCTCAGTAGCAGAGTGTTCATGAGTGGTCTAGCTGCTTCTAACAGTCTATGATCAGATATGGGAGCAAAGAAATGACAAACTTGAAACTTATATTTAAAAGGAAAGCAGAGCGTAAGGGTTTGGAAAATTTGCAGACTACTCAGGTAGTAGAAAGGAAAAGAACTTTTTCAGGGGAGGAATTCAAGTGGCCTGTGGAGCAACTCGCTAAGCGAATAGCATGACTAAAAGGGAGCCAAGGGCTAATATCCAAGACAATAAAAAAAAGATCGCAAGGGCATTTCAAAACTATTTGGGACAGCCCCTCTGATCACAGGCTCAGAGGCCTAAGAGGCTAAGAGGCAAGAATGGTTTCAGGGGCCAGGCCCAGGGTGCTGTTGCCCTGCTCAGCCTCATGACACTGCTCCTTACATTCTGGCTGTACCAGCTCTAGCCATGGCTCAAAAGGGCCCAGGTACGGCTCCAGACACCACTTTGGATAACATAAGCCATGCTTCCATGTGGTATTCAGCCTACAGACACACAGAATGCAAGAGTGAAGAAGGCTTGGCAGCTCCCATCTAAATGCCATAGGAGGCATGGGCAGAAGTCTACCACTGGGGCAGAGCCCTGGCAAAGAAACTCTACTAGGTCCATATCAAGGGAAAATGCGGGGTTGGAGCCTCTACACAGAGTCCCCACTGGGGCACTTCCTAGTGGAGCTGTGGGAAGGGGGCTGCTGCCTTCTATATCCAAGAATGGTAGAGACACTGGCAGCTAGACACTGGCAGCTTGAAGCCTCAGCATGGAAAAGCTGCAGACACTCAACTCCAATCTGTGGGAGCAGCCATGGAGGACGCACACTGCAAAGTCATAGGGGTGGAGCTGCCTAAGGCCCTGGGAGCCTACCCGTTGCAGCAGCGTGCCCTGGATGTGGGACATGGTGTCAAAGAAGATTATTTTGAAGCTTTAAGATTTAATGACTGCCCTGCTGTGTTCCACACTTGTGTGATGCCTATTACCCCTTTGTTTTGGTCAGTTTCTCCACTTTGGAACAAGAATGTTTACCCAATGCCTGTACCACCATCGTATCTTAGAAGTAAATTACTTGTTCTGATTTTATAGGCACATAGGTGAGTCCCACATGAGGCTTTGGACTGTGGACATGGAACATTTGTGTTAATATTGGAATGAGTTAATACTTTTGAGGAACTATTGTGAAGGCATAATCATATTTTGAAATGTAAGGACATGATATTTGGGGGGGGCAGGGGTGAAATAATATGGTTTGGATGTGTTTGTCCCTCCAAATCTCACGTTGAAATGTGATTCCCAATGTTGGAGGTGGAGTCTGGTGGGAGGTGATTGGATCATGGGGGCAAATCCCTCATGAATGGTTTAATACAACCCCCTTGGTGATAAGTGAGTTCTTGCTCAGTTAGTTATGTGAGATCTGGTTGTTTAAAAGAGTCTGGGACCTCCTCATTCTCTTTCACTTGCTCTTGCTGTCACTATGTGACATGCTGGCTCCTTGTTGCCTTCTGTCATGATTGTAAGTTTCCTGAGGCCCTCACTCAGGAAACAGATGCCATTGCCTTGCTTCCAGTACAGCCTGCAGAACCATGAGCCAATTACACCTCTTTTCTTTATAAGTTACCCAGACTCAGGTGTTCCTTTACAGTGACACAAGCATGAACTAATACACATGACAAGGAATCAAATAGTACAGAATTGCTTATAATTTTTTTTAAAACAGCCTCTAACCTCTGCTCCACCTGACCACATTCCACACACTGGAAAATTTTTTTTTAAGGATTTCTAACTTCTTTAGGTTGCTGCCTTCATAATTCTAAATATTATAATCATAGTTTTCCTTGCAGGTGTGACAACTTTAGACATGGATAGGACAATAAGAAAAATAACAATATCTCTTTCATAATTCTTGATTTTTAAAATGTTCTTGATTTTAAAAATTATCTTCTACACCTTACGTTTTTAACTTTATGTGATATATTTATGACTTCTTCCAACAGCTCCAGGCAGTATCACTTGACTCTTCTCACTATAAAGATGAGGCTATTTAGTCTTCCTGCCCTTTCCTGTACTTTTTCTCTTCCACACCCCCCTCCCAAATCAGCTGTACTTTTCCTTTACCTTGTCAAGATTGTGTAAGAATGATTAAGTATTTTGTGTTTTGTTTATAGGTTGATGCTAAGTGTGGAAAATCAATAAACAGATCTTTTATACTGATGGCTATATATTTCTCACTGCAGTGAATAAGGGTTATATTTATAATCTTCTCTATAGATCCAAGAATGCATTCTACTCCAAGCAGGATATATTTCCAGCATCAGGATCAAATGAATTCTCTCTCTTGCATTGTTACTTGTCAAAATTGTGGCACATTTTAATTTGTCTCATATTTGAAATAAGTCTTGGTATATGTTATCAGCAATAATTAAGATTATTATGTTAAATTGTCGTGTGCCACAAAAATAACCAAATTTCATTGCCAGTTGTGTCTTTAAGTATAGCTATTTCTGTCTTTCTTTAATCTACAGACAATTATTGTTTTACTTTGATTATTCTCAAAAAAAGGTTTGTAATCAGCTACTGTCCAAAATTTGCTTCCTCTTTAAGGTAATTCATTGAAAGGACTCTGACAGGTTCTCTTGAGCACAGGGTAGATCATATCATTCGACTAGGTAAAAAAAGTTCAAGACTCTAATTTTAATAATCTGAAGTGTTCATGAAAATTGCCAACACAACATCAAGTGGGACAAGAATTAATTACATGGGACTGAACTAATAAAGGACTAAAATAATTTCTAATGACTTCTTTTTGTTTGAAACATTGTTGATTCTTTTTATGCTTTATTGTCTAAAGTTAAGAAAACTTTTTCTTTTGAGCTACTTAGAGCTTACAACAACAACTGGGTAAAGTATAGTTTTGTGAGCAAAATTAAAACATTTAGTTTTTTCTTTACCTGATTTCTCCAGAATTTTGAAAAGTTGTGAGTATTCTTAATTTATGGCAATATAGTTATTTACGCAAGTTCAGTTAGAATCTGTTTTCTTTTGTAGGACAAAATAGTGGATATAGTAGTTAATAGTGGATATAGTGGTTATTGGATATAGTGGTTATTTTACCAAGGCCTTGACTGAAATGGTATATTTTCAAATATGATCAGACTGCTTTGAGGAATTTAGATTGGCTTTATTGAGCTGATAAGAAGCCCTTTAAAAAGTCTGACCTGATATCTTTTCTACACAGTTTCTTTATAGGGTTCCTGACCTGTGGTAAGTAAAAGATGTCACTTTCTGACAGGCCCAGAAACCTCAAGATATTTTAAGACCTTGAGAAGGGAAAAATTCACCCAATTTGTACAGGTATTACAGATATAGATAAGTGGCACATCCTTGGCTTGGCTTTCTAGCCTCGAGGTTTTAAAAAGTCTAATCTTAGATTCCTTGTAAAAAAGTTCCAACAAAGCTAACTTATAAGAGCCTCTATGACCAATCACCGTTCTTGCTATGCTTTATATGAATAATCAGGCCAAATATTATCAAACTAATACTTATTTTGCAAATAAGTTTGTCATACCATTATTTGTCTTTGGTAGAAATAAAGGACTAAAGAGAAGAATTATGTTTTTTTTTTTTAAAAAAAAAAAACCCTATAGGTTTTTCTCCTCATAACTCTGTTATGAGATTCCAGCCTTGTCCATTATTTTTGAGTTTTTATTATTTTCTCACAATGTAGACTGAATCCTGACTTCTTTCTTGGCTACAAGTCTCCAAAAATAACATTTTCAAATTTTCTTCCATTTTTCTAACTTGAAATTATTAGAAATTAAAACTGTGCTTTTCTTATAACCCTGCAAACTAAAGATAGGCCACTTAAATAACCTTCAAGAAAAATTACCACAGCAAATTATATATAAACAGCCAGTAATACATGAACTCACAAAGTTCGTTTAAACACCCAATTCAAACTACAATCCAGAAATATGTGTCAGATTGTCACTGAAATCTGAAGATGCTTCAGAGACTCTAAAAAAAAAGTAGTTTATAGACTATTCCAGACATTAGCCTTTTTTCCCTGTTTCCATAGAAATACCTTTTATTTATGATCTGTTTGCCTGCATCATATATAGAGCCTAGCCTACCTGCAATGCCACCTCCTGGAATGGGACACAACTGTTTAACCAAACTGATCTATTCTCAGGACTAAAAGACTGATTTAAAGAGAGATGGGATGGTATATTTAAATGTATTCTTTTCTGCATATCCCAATTTGTTTTCCACTCTTTTGTCTATCTCTAATAATCTCTAACCCAAACCTCTCCAAAGCTATCAACTTGGCTTTTAATATGTGAAACATTTTTTGTTCGAGACAGAGTCTTGCTCTGGAGTGCAGTGGCACCATCTCAGTTCACTGTAACCTCTGCCATGAAGGTTCAAGCAATTCTCCTGCCTCAGCCTCCTGAGTAGGTGGGATTACAGGCTCACTACCACACCCAGCTAATTTTTGTATTTTTACTAGAGATGGGGTTTCACCATGTTGAACAGGCTGGTCTTGAACTCCTGACCTCAAGTGATCCACCTGCCTTAGCTTCCCAAAGTGCTGGGATTACAGGTGTGAGCCACCACACATGGCCAAACATGTGAAACTTGTTAAGGCTTCAAAGTGGGGACTGAAGGAAATAAAAATATTTTACCCCAAACTATATCTATTTGACATATTTTCAAATGGCTGCTTGGAGAGTCAGAAAACAAAAGTATTCCTGCAAAGCTGTCTTTTGTGGGGCAGATTTGCATCTGTAGAAAATCTGCACTGATGCAACCAGCTCTTCCCTTGTCCAGAGCTAGGAAAAATTAACGGAGAGGTTGATACCTTTAAAAGTCTGAAAAATACATTTATTATTTATTCTATTTGAAAGCTGCTACCGTGAGATTTCATCTACATAACAAGACCACCATTGCTAGCCAAGCCTCCTCTTCCCTTCCTCCCATAACCTGTCTTGCAACTATAACCTGTTTTGGCCATACTCCAAGTCCCCATTCTTTTTGTAACTTCAAGATGGCAAATAAGCTTCTGCATCCCACTGAGGGGTGGGTTAATCACTCTGTGACTTTCCTTTGTGTGCACATTAATAAATTGGTGTGCTTTTTCTCCAATTAATCTGCCCTTTGTGGGTTAATTTTTCCATGAACCTTCAGAGGGAGGGCAAAGGGAAAGTTTTCCCTCGGTCCCCACAGAATCAGTTTTTGTTTTGTTTTGTTTTTTTTCAGTTTGTCTTTCCAGGAATTTCTAGCTGATTTTTTTCTATTTATTTTATATCTGTCTTCTTTACCATATCACTAACACATCCATATACTCCTTGAAAAAATTACTCCCTTCGTCTTGAAGACACTGATTTCCTCTTTTAATTTGTATCAGTTGCTTTCTGGGCCTACGGTACAGCTATTATTCTGAAATTTCTTTTCACTGGGACTTTTATGTTAGTCCCACCATCCTCAGGAAACTTCTTCAGGGGGAAATTTCTTAGTGAATCATTGAATATTTGAAATGTTTATTTCATCTTTACATTTGGTTGGTAGCTTTTCTGGTTATGGTTTGCAGATTAGAAACTTTGCCTCAAAAATTTGAAGACCTAGTTTCAGCGTTTTCTAGTGTCAGTGTTACTAAGAAGAAGTCTAACGCTGGTTTTATTTGTAATTTCTTTGTAATTGATCTGTTTTTCCTATTTGGAAGCTTTTGGGATCTTTCTTTAACTTTAAAGTTCTAAAATTTCAATACATTGTATCTAGGTAGGGATCTAGATAAAAATTCATCCGTGGCATTTTGCAATGCATATAGCTACAGATCTGTACAAAAATTTATCCGTGGCATTTGCTGGCCTCTGTCAATCAGAAAACACATGCCTCTTTCATCTCTAGCAAATCTTGTTTTATTATTTCTCTGATAATTTAATTACCCCATGCTTAATCTTGAATCTTTCTTAAGAGATTTATCTTTCAAGTTAGCTTCTGTTAGTTATCTGATTTATCTTTGTTTTCTCTGGGGTCAGCTTTTTTTATATATATTGATCTTTCTTTTTCTCTTTTCTTCTTCTTTTAACAGAAGAAAAAGCATATAAATTTATTTATGTGCAAATGCATGGGAGCCACACAAAATATGAGACTTGAAGGACCAGAGGACAGAAGTTTTTATACTATGCAGAAATGAACAGAGGCTTGGAGCTCCTGGGGAGAGGTGGCAGCAGATTATGGAAGGGTGAGGGGAGGAAACATATGGCAAGAAAAGGCTGTCTTGCTATGCATGATCTTTCTTTTTCATGCTGCTGGATTATTCACATGTTGAGTGATCATTGATCAGTCCCTCACATTTAAACAGGAGAGACTAGGGAGGCTAACAGGAGCTATATGTGTACAGATGGTGTTTGTCCTTTATGCATAATTTGCCTGATGGACAGTTTCAGGAGCAAGCCATTTTGCAGGTGACTGCTTCCCAGTGCCAGCCCAAAGGGCACGTCACCCTGAGTATGAACACTCCCACTAGCAGCCATAAGTCTATCACTCCACTTGAAGTTTTAGAGGCTTTTTCCTAGCCCTATGGTTAAGCATCCTGCTACCCTCTGCTTTGGGAAAATGATATTGAAAAAGGAATGAAGGCCATCTGGGTTAACCATAGAGAAATTTCCATTCTTCTTCTTTACCTTCATCCTTTCTTTCAGGTGATCTTTTACCTGCACTCTCAGCAGATAGGACACCTCCTCTATTCTAAACCTTTTTGGCACATTCTGGGCTCTGGCCACTTTGTTTTTCCATGGACAGCTTCTGTCTCCTCTATGTGCTCTAGAAATTGCTCATGCCTCCCCTCCTGCTCTGTTTGCTATTCAGAATTTGTTCCTCCGTTGATAGTTCTCTATTTAATATAACTTCAGTGGGATCTTAAAAGAGGAGACAAATGTTCAATCCACTTTTCTGAACCAGAGGCCTCTTAATCATATTCTCTGAGTGAGAACATAAATACACACATGCATGGATGGATGGATTTCCATCTCAATCAATCAAACAGGATCCAGGCATCATTGGCTAATTGTCCATAGTACAATAAACTATTAAATCATTATTATCTGCTATTACTCTTTCAGTTGATCACAATGCCACTCATGTTAGGTGGGAACTAAGGAAAAGCAGAGGTTTAATGGGTTGGAATCTGGACAGAAGGAGTGCAGTGTAATGCATGCAGGCCTCACCCAGATGCATGCCCCGAGATATCAGTGTTGGGGAATAATGCTGTGCCAACTCCAGAGTACCTTCCGCAGAACACCAGCCCCATGGATGTCAACAGGTATTATGAGAAGGCTCTGTGGGCGAATGAGTCTGGGGACTCCTGGGTACAACAAGAAGTAAACAGGCTCTTTCACTGAAGACTTCTCAGAGCCTTGATATGCCAATAAGAGTTGTGGCTCTTCAAGAGTGGAATATAAAATGAAACATTTCCCAAACTCCTTTGTGCACAGAACCCTTTTGTTACTGTGTATAATGTTCTATGGAACACACTTTGGATACCCTCCTCTAATCTATTTCTGCTGCAAAGACCGTTTGCAGAAAATAGGAAAGGAAGAAATCATGGAAAAAAAGGAGAAACAACATATCCTTATCCATATCTATCTATATAAATATCTATGTGTATGTCTAATCTATATCTATATCTGTATCATCTCTCAAGTCTTTTCTGCTTGTCTGACTTTCAAACTGTCCTTTCATAAGACCTCAGCTCCTTCTGGCAGAATCACGCTCCTGGAAACCTCCTCTGAGTTACTGCACTGGTCTCGCTACCTGAGGAGACTTAAAAATGCTACATTCCATATCTGGCTTTCAGAATGTCGTAACTAGACATAAACATGATTGTCACGTAGCTTAATCGCTTGTTGTACTGGGGAGAAAACCAAGAAGCAAAGAAGTTCAGGACTTGCCCAAGGTCACACAGCATATTGGTGGTGGATCTGCAATTAGAAGCAAGGTTTCCAGACTTCTGTCCAGTAGAACACTCACTGGGTATATGCCTGTCCATGATAGAAATCTACGAAGGTGTTTCAGTCAGATGCCCTGTGGTTTGGTCCCCAGATGCCTGCAGATGTTCCTTTCACT
The DNA here is from genome assembly GCF_000001405.40 of Homo sapiens. Lineage (NCBI taxonomy): Eukaryota > Metazoa > Chordata > Mammalia > Primates > Hominidae > Homo > Homo sapiens. The sequence goes on from NC_000002.12 coordinate 29,545,093, forward strand.
TTTCAGCACTCTCACCACTCTGTGGATCAGGCCCAGCAGCTGGTCTCAAGCTCTTCTTTCTGACTGTCCCCAGAGGTCACAGACTAACGCATGGGCAGGTGGGACCCAGACAGTGGGTCCTCCTTTTGAAATCACTCACAGGGCTTAGATGGCCTCACCATGGCTGAGCAGTATTTGAGGGTTTCCTTTGTTCATGTGGTCTTATGAATTGTTCAAAGCAAACTGGGGCCACTGAAAGAGGCTCCTTATTGTTTATTTTTCAAACTTGAATTCTACTATCCTGTGTAGCCTCAACTCATGTTTTAGTTGTTAGAGCAGAATTTTGACATTTAGAATAAAGAGGAGGTGGGACCGTGCTCATTGGCATGCTTTGCCTAATATTGAGATAATGGAAAGACAGAACTTCAAAGCTCTAGAGGCTCTTGGAAATCATTTGGTCCAACCTGTTCACCTTGCAGCTGAGGAAACAGTCCAGTGGGTGAAGGGCTATGCCTGGCTTCCATAGCAGAGCTGAGCCATGTGGGCACTCAGTCCCTGTGCACTTTTACTGTCTCCCTCTGTCTCGATGTCAAATATTTGGAATTAGCTCTGTTACTCTCCACCACCAGGACTTACATGTATTGCTTTTCTGCACCTTCATTCGGAAGCACTTTGAAGAGAAATGGTATTCGTTTTTGAGACTGAATCATTAGAAAAACCAAGTGTGTTCATTAAGAGAGAGAAGGGGAGTAGAGGGAGTTGATTTTTCTTGATAGTATTATTAATCTTAAGATAATGAGTTAGTTGTAGCCTAGAAGTAGTAGTACAATTTGCACAATTAGGAGCCTCTGCAAACTGAAAAGGCAAAACAACCTTTCGGGTCCTACTTAACTGAGGCAGAAGTTCCCTAGAAATAATATATATTTATGCTCATGTGTGTGTGTAGTAAAATACGCGTATGTGTGTGTGCGTATATACGTGTACATCAATAGATGGATACACATAAACATACACATATGTACGGATGTATATGTATGTCTATGTGTGGAGGAGTACGTTTTTATATATTCCCTTTTAGATCTCTGACCCTGTTAAAATCTGACCCTGTTAGATCTCACCTCATTTTTAGGTGAGACACAAAGGTGGTTTTTTTCTTTTACATCAATGGATTTCATTTAGAAAAAAGGGGCAGAGCCAATAATCTCTACATACTGCATGCGTGCCCTGGGGTGTCAGCAAAAAAAGATAATAAAAGGCAAAGCAAATAAATAGAAAGAAACAGAAGACAAAGTGCTGAGAAATCCTTTTTCCCTAAGAGCTCATTTTGGTAATCCTCAAGGAAAATAGAAAAGCACTTGATCTGACTAGAAGGAGAAAGGGGAACAAAATGAAAACTAAAGAATTGATTTAATTCAATGAGAAACAGGAGGAAGGAGAGATAAAAGCACCTGCTGGAGGAGGAGGACGGAAGGGAGGGAGCTGGGCGACCAGGGTGCCTTCAGTGGAACAAAACCCACTAGAGAGAGAGAGAAGCACAAAGTCAGGTTTTCCCTTTCCCACGTGGGTTTTTTAGCTCTGGAATCGGATTGTTCAATTTTTGCTTTAAGTCCCAGATGTCAAGGGATAAACATCTTCTATGTTACTTTTAAAATTTTTGCTAAGAGGTAGCGGCTTTTATTGCTTTCTCTGGGCATTCCATTGATTTTTTTAATTAAATATTTTAAAAAGCAATTTTTTGCCCATTTCCTTGCAGGAGTCTCATAAAATCTCAACCTTATTATAACAAGTTCTGATGTTCCATCTACTGTGGTTCTCAGATACCCGCTGCTGAAGAAGGAGCATGGAACGTGGGTGGATGTTAATAACCAAGCCATGCAGCTGAGAAGCAAAGGGAAGCTGAGAATGCATCACTGTTTGTCACCTGCTGCCACTCTGGGAGAGCTGCATGGAGCACCCATGGGCCTCTCACCCATTCCTCTTCATTTTTCGGAAGAGTCAATGCACATGCAGGAAGCTGAGGTATCTGCATGGCAAGATGGCTAGGCTGAGTTCTCAAAGGTTCTAGAATGTTCTAGGCTTCTAACAGATCTTTTCACTTCAGGTCTAAACTTCCTCCTCATACATTCTACACACAGAAGTCAGAACCATCTTCTTACATTTAATTTAGGTTATCCTTCCCTTCTTTTAAACTCTTCAATTCCTTCTCACTGAATACAGATTAAAACAGAAATTCCATAATACGGGGCCAGGCGAGGTGGCTCATGCCTGTAATCCCAGCATTTTGGGAGGCCGAGGTGGGCAGATTGCCTCAGCTCAGGAGTTCGAGATCAGCCTGGGCAACATGGTGAAACCCCATCTCTACTAAAATACAAAAGATTAGCCGGGCATGGTGGCGTGCGCCTGTAGTCCTAGGTACTCAGGAGGCTGAGGCAGGAGAATCGCTTGAACCAGGGAGGCGGAGGTTGCAGTGAGCAGAGATCGTGCCACTGCACTCTAGCCTGGGCAACAGAGTGAGACTCTGTCTCAAACAAAAACAAAAACAAATTCCATAATATGATCTATAAGAAAGGCCAGAGGGGAACTGAACTGCGGTGGATTTCATAGGCTGGCTCACTCAGGTCCCCAACCAACTTCCTTCTCTCTTGCCTCCTTCTTTTATTGAGACTGGAAGTTTAAAAAAAAGACTTGATTTAACCAGGCTTCCTTGCAGATAGGAACAGCCATGTGACACAGTTCTGGTGGTGAAATGTGAGCAGAATTATGCTCGTATGGTTGCCAGGTTCAGCAAATAAACATATAGAACACCCAGTTCAATGTGCATTTCACATTAATAACGAACAATTTTATTAGTGAAAATATATCTTAAATATCGCATGAGACATGCTTATGCTAAAAAACAATTTTGTTGTTCATCTGAAACTCACATTTAACTGGACATCCTGTGTTTTATCTGGCAGCCCTCTGGTGCGGGGAACTGTGGGGAAAGTTTCCCCTTTCTGCTTCTTTCTTCTTTTTCTTGCCTAGAATATGAACATAATGCCTGGAGGTGTGGCAGCTGTCTTGTAACCAGGGATTGACAACATGGGATGTGGACTAGTAAAGTAATAAGAGTTAAGTCACAGCCGAGCGCGGTGGCTCACGCCTGTAATCCCAGCACTTTGGGAGGCCAAGGCAGACGGATCACGAGGTCAGGAGACTGGGACCGTCCTGGCTAACACGGTGAAACCCTGTCTCTACTAAAAATACAAAAACTTAGCCGGGCGTGGTGGCGTGCACCTGTAATCCCAGCTACTCCGGAGGTTGAGGCAGGAGAATCGCTTGAACCCGGAAGGTGGAAGTTGCAGTGAGCCAAGATCATGCCACTGCACTCCAGCATGGGCGACAGAGCAAGACTCGGTCTCAAAAAAAAAAAAAAGAGTTAAGTCACTAATGGTGTCATTGGATATCTATGCCAGTGCTGAACTGCCTGTCTCCGCTCTTCTTGTGGGAAACACACAGCAAAACACCCAAGATCCTTATCTGGCTAAGTCATCGCAGCGAAGGCTTCTGTTGTTTTGGAGCTGAACTTCTATAAGCACAGGGATCCCGCCTGTCTTGGGCCGGGGCTCACTAGTACCTGGTGCAATGCCAAGTACAGTGTTTCTTCAATAAACATTTGCTGAATGAATAAATTAATAATATTTAACAAAAAAGTGGGCAACTCACTTATTTTCTTATATCTTATCTAAAGCAGTGTCATATTTCTTATTTACCTTGGGGGGGATGTTTTTCCTTTTTGAACATTATGACGAGTGGCTACAGAGGGTTACTCTTTGCAACATAAAACAAATCAATTTTTAAAATGCCTTGAAGTTTGGACTCTTAAGATCAGTGTTTCTCAACTTGTGGTTTGTAACCCATTAATGGGCCATGAAATCAATTTAGTGGGTCATGACCAGCACTAAACAGAGAGGAGGAGAAGGAGGAGGAGGAGAAGACCAGCAGGAGGAAGAAGCAGAATTAATTTATAAAATATCCTCATTGTAACTCTCTTTTGGGAAATAACAGTGGCTGCTGATCTACAGGTACACACACACACACACACACACACGCACACACACACGGACACACACATGCACAGGTGTATGTGTCTTTCATTGTGATGTGAAATATATTTCTTACTGTGAATCACAGTTTTAAAAAGATTGAAAGCCAGGTTCAAGATGAGTAGTGTTCAAATTTCAAATGTCCATATGTGGAAATCACATTGGCCTGATTCTTGTTCCTGAGCCACCTCTCATTAGTTGGGTGACCTTGGAGGAGAAGTAATTTATTTGGACAGCGTTTTATGATTTGTAAAACTCTCTCATGCAATCTTAGAACAACCCAGTGAAATAGATGCTATCCCCAGTTGTAGTTGTGTGTCTAATAATGGCAGCCAATAGCCACATGTGGTTTTTGAGTATTTGAAATGTGGCTGACGTGACTGAAGAACTGAATTTATTTTATTTAATTTTAATTAATTTAAGTTTAAGTACTGAAACTTAATTCAGTTATTGGAAAAATATGTTTGGAACAACTTGGGTATGTGAATATGATTTTCCAAGAATAAATTTTATAAAATACATCTCAAGTATTTCAGATGAAAATTTAGTCTCTAAACTGAAATGGCTATCAGTATAAAATGCATACTGGATTTCAAAGATTTAGTACAGAAGACATACAATGTTTTATTAATAATTTTTATATTGAGTACAAGTCAAAATGAAAATATTGGATCTCTTGGGTTAAATGTTTATTAAAATGAAGTTCTTTTTACTTCTTATGATGTGGTTTCTAGAAAATCCAAAAGGACATTTTTGGCTCATATTGTATTTCTATTAGCACTACTTTAAGGATTAAGTATCTTGCCCTAAGCCCCTGGATAAAAAAGTGCTTCAATTACTATTACAATTCAGGTCCCTTTACAAATCTATGGCTCTTCCCGCTAAACTAGGACAAGTCACATCTCCCTAGGCCTTGCTGTTCTTATCTTTAACAACAGCAAGTAAACTAGTGTATGACGATAATAATAATAATGGCTAATGCTTATCCAGTGCCTATTAGTCCCGAGCAATATGTTAACATTTTGCAAGGTTTACTGCATTTTAATTTGCAACAACCCTGTAAGGTAGTTATATGATTATTAAACCTACTTTTTAGTTGAGAAAACTGAGACTCGGAGATATCAATTAACTTGCCTATCAGCTCAAGATGGTGTAGACTGAGGGGCCCAGAGCCCAGGAGCTCCATGAAGATGACTAGACAGCTAGAGCCTTTCCCTGGACCTTGGCCTTTATGAAAGCAGCTGGACTCTGTTTGAGAGATGGTATATTGCTTTTATTTCTAGAGTCTTTTTAGATTCATTTCCTTTGAGAAATAATGGCTGTCTGATCTTGTTGCTGATTCCAACACTATATGGCAGAAATCTCCAATCTCTACAGTTTTTGAATACATAGATAAGGCTGAAGAAGGTGACTTTGTATCTGAAAATTTTCAACCAGAAAATTGAAATTTGGGCTTTGTTATCATGGGTGCTTATTTAAAGTTCTACTTGCAATGTCAGACTACATCTCAATGAAAGCTTTCAAATATAGGGACAAATAATACTTTCCCAGGAAAATTATTTTTCCTTTGTTATCAATCTTGTTTATGTGCATTAAATATAATTTAGAAAAGAAATGGTAAGAAAAAATTTATCTGTAGTCCTACCAATTAACCATTCCATTTTGGTTTTTTATTTCACCACCTGCATAGGATTTTAAAAATTTAAAATATTTTTTTCTCTTATTCTTTCACTTAACATTGTCGTAAGCATCCTCTATGTTTTTATGTAGGACTTGCAAACATATTTATAAATATTTGTGTAATAGTCCAATAACTGGACATCACATTTAATCTGTTGTTTTAAACAATTAGGTTGTTTCCAGTTTCTTGCTATTGATAAAGTTGTTCTCCTGCTTCTGTGAATATCATACTCTTTCTGGAAGATAGTCCACCAAAATATGTACAGTTTAAAAACCTTAAACTGTGCATATTCTTTTACCCAATAATTTCCTTTCTAGGAATTGCTTTAAAGAAATGGAGTTATTTCTAAAGACATGTTTGCAAAGTTTCCCAGCATTATTTACGGGAGTAAATATTTAGAAATGGTAAATGTTCAATACATAAGATTAGTTATGTAAAGTATGGTGTATCCACATAATAAAGTACTTCATGGAGTCATTAAAATTATTCTCTGGAAGAATAGGTGAGGATTTTTAAATATTAATAACAATAGCTTTCTTTTACTGAGTACCAGACACTGTGCTTATATATATATTTAGGATATAATTTAATCCTGAACTATGCATGTGCTTGGTATTATTATTACTGTCTCTTTCACACAGATGAAGAAACAAATTTAGAGGGTTAGGTGACCTCCCATAGCCACAAAGCTGATAACTGAGTAAGCAATAGAACTAAGACAAAAAAACCCTGGTGGTTTTTCTCCAGGACTTACATCCTTAACCACCATGCTGTATAAACAACTAGGAAGTTCATAAGCTCTCATTAGAAGAGAGAGGCAGTTATAAAACAGCATGGATAGTGTGACCTCAGTCTAGCAAAATCTAATAAATATATGACTCTACACACAGAACAACTTGAGAAAATTCACCAAAATGTAAAATGGGTAACTCTGGAGGTTAGAATATTTTTCTTTACACTTTCTTGAATTTTCCAAAACACCTGCTACTTAAAAAAAAATACTGTTTACAGTGATAAGATATACACAGCACAAAATGTACCATTTTAACCATTTTTCAGTATACCATTCAGTGGCATTATGTACATTCCCAATGTTGTGCAACTATCATCACAACCCAATTTTAGATATTTTCACCATCCCAAACAAAACCTCTGTACTCACTTAACAATAACTTTCCATTAATCCCTCCCCTCAGCACCTGGTAACCTCTATTCTACTTTCTGTCTCTGTGAATTGGCCTATTCTAGATACCTTGTAAAATTGGAGTCAAATGATGTTTGCCCTTTCAGGTCTGGTTTATTTCATTTAACACAATGTTTTCAAGTTCATCTATTTCACAGCATGTATCTGAATTTCCTTCCTTTTTAAGGTCATGGTATGTGTATACCACATTTCGTTTATCCATTCATCTGCTGATGGACATTTGGGTTATTTCTATCTTTTGACTAATGTAAATGATATTGCCATGAATGTTGGTGTACAAGTATGTTTGAGTCTCTGTTTTGAATTTTTGGGGGTGTATATGCAGGAATGGAATTGCTGGGTCATGTGATACTTCTATGTCTAACCCTGTGAGGAGCCACCAGACTGTTTTCCATGGCAACTACACCACTTTACATTCCCACGAGCAATACACAAAGATTCTAATTTCTCTCCATACATCCTCACCAATATTTGTTGTATTACTTTAAAAAAATAATAGACAAACTAATGGATGCGAAGTGGTATCCCATGGTTGATTTGATATGCATTTCCCTAATGACTAATGATGTTGAGCATATTTTTATGTGCTTATTGGTCATTTGCATATCTTCCCTGGAGAAATGTCTACTCAAGTCCCTTGCCCATTTTTTAGTTGGGTTGTTTGCTTTTATCTGTCACTTCTTGAATTAGAAAAACAAACCACAGTGACTTTTGTGCAGAATTTTAAAAAGTAAACATCGGATTGTATCCATTCCCTGCTTCCGTATCTCAATCTGCCTCTGGGATAAAAAGTTCACACTACCAGAGCATGGGCTGCCTGGGCTCCCTCTCCAGCCTCCCATCCTGCCTGTCCACCTCACACTTGCTTCTGAAGCTGTTCTCAATGCCCCCACAGTTCTTGTAGACACCATGCCTTCATCCATGCTGTGCCATATGCTGAGAAAGCCTCCTCATCTTCTCTTCCTGTTATTTCCCTTCTTTATTCAGCGAAATTCTAATCATCCTTCCAGATTCAGCTCAGGATCATTTCAAATAAAACTCTTGCTATGGTGTAAATGTGTCTCTTCCAAAACTCATGTTGAAACTTTATTTCCATTGTGGTGGTATTAAGAGAGGCCATTTTGGGAAGCGATTTAGTCATGAGGGCTCCACCCTCATGAATGAATTAGTGCCTTGTAAAAAGGCTGGAGGGAACTAGCTTAGCCTCCTTTTTCCCTTAGCCCCTTCTGACATCTGAAGACACAACAGCAAGGCACCATCTTGAAGCAGAGAGCAGCCCTCACCAGACACTAACGGTCTCAGTGCCTTGATGTTGAACTTTGCAGCTTCCAGAACTGCGAGAAATAAAATTTCAATTGTTTATAAACCATTCAGTCTCAGGTATTTTGTTGTAGCAGCACAAATCGACTAAGATACCTTCCAAACTCTTTGGCTTTACTCCTGCATTTGCCACATGTGTGAATGCTTCTGACATTTACCTCCTAATAATGGAGTTACCTGTGTCTGTCTCTCTCATGAAACATGCTCACTCCTTGACAGCAGGGGTGGGTTTTTGTCATTTGCATACACTCAATGCCTAGCGCATAGAAAAAGCTCAATATTGCCTAATAGAACTGAACTCTTGATTTATATTAGCTAATTGCTTACCGATGAGGCTTTATATTTTGTCTATCAGTAATGCACGGCAGTACCTGTTTCATTGCACCCCTGTCTGAACTGGGAATTATATTTGTTGTTTCAATTTGCATGTCTTTAATTACTAGTGAGGTTGAGTCATTTCCCCATATGTTCTTTAATTAGTTGCTTCTCATCTTTTGTGAATTGTCTGTTTTTTTTGTTCAGTTATCTATTGGAGGCTTAGTGTTTTCCTTGTTGATTTGTAAGAACTTCTTAAAACTAGGCTCTTAATTAACCCTTTATCTATTATATTTGCTAAAAGAAATTATTCCATGTGTCCTTTGCCATTTAGTTTTGTTTTTAATGTAAACAATTTGGACAATTTTATGCTATCAAATCTTATATATGAAGTTTACTGATTTGCCTTTTTATATTTATGAACTTGAGTGTCTGTAATAGCTTTCCATAGTATTACTTTCATTAATATGTGACAAAAATAGTCACTGTAAAGGTATACCTTGCTTTATGGATCTTTGGCTGGAAATTTTAAGCATAATTATATTCATAGATATCATTAAGTGGGGGGAAAAAGGGAAAACCTTTGTAAAGAGTCACTAACTTTGTGTTGTAAATTGAGCTTTCTTTAGGACTTCCTTAGCTATTAGAGCTAGAGAGAGAAAAAAGCCCTAAATTTTAAGTGAGATCTAAATTGCAAAACAATAGCAAGGCTGGGAGAAGAAGATTTAGAAAAGAGCTTGCAAATTGTCAGCCTTTCAGAGCACATTGATTGTTCTTGGATGGGTTTTCATTTGGCCAAAGGCTTGGTCTGCACTGACTTTTAGATTTGGATTGGTCTTCAATGCTTAAAAGTCAGGAAACAGTAACCACTTGAATATCTGGAGCTGTTCTGGATTTGGAAAAGGGAAGGAAGATCTGGCAATGTTGGGCCTATTGTTTCTTTTTTGGTGGCAATAAATGGCTGGATTTGAATACCTGCTACTGTCAGAGGTGTTTGAACCAGAGCAACTCCATCTTGAATAGGGTCTGGGTAAAATGAGGCTGAGACCTACTGGGCTGCATTCCCAGACAGTTCAGGCATTCTATGCCACAGGATGAGATAGGAGGTCAGTACAAGATACAGGTCATAAAGACCTTGCTGATAAAACAGGTTTCATTTCAGTAAAGAAGCCAGCCCAACCCCACCAAAACCAAGATGGTGACGAGAGTGGCCTCTGGCCATCCTCACTGCTATACTCCCACCAGCACCATGACAGTTTACAAATGCCAGGGCAACATCAGGAAGTTACCCTATATTGTCTAAAAAGGGGAAGCATGAATAATCTACCCCTTGTTTAGCATATCATCAAGAAATAACCTTAAAAAAGGGCAACAGCAGCCCTCAGGGCTGCTCTGTCTATGGAGTAACCATTCTTTTATTCTTCTACTTTCTTAATAAACTTGCTTTCACTTTACTCTATGGACTCACCCTGAATTCTTCTTGTATGAGATCTGAGAACCCTCTCTTGGGTTCTGCATGGGGACCCCTTTCCTGTAACACTACCCCCTCAGATGGCCATGTCTCTCCAATTCCCCATAGTCCCCACAATTTCCTAATGTCCCCCTCACTGAGGCTGAGGGTCAGTGGCCATTTATCATCTTACCATTGGCCCACTTCACTCATTTACTTTACCTGCTAGGCTGCTGTGGGCATTTGAGTTTTTTTTGAGGACCTCAGGCTGGGCTGCTGAAATTTACTGGGTAATCTCCCCAGTCATGGAAATATGGGGATTAAATTTAAATCTAGTTCTGACTGTTTAATTGGGAACAGTCAATCTGTGAGTATTTGCTCTGTCCATTTCTGTAAGTGGAAATTGATGTCTGTTCTCTCCACCCCTGCCCTCCACCTTTCTCTCCTTCCCCTTCCCTTGGTTTGGATTTAATGAATATGATTTATATTGACTTCAATTCATAAATTCTGTAACAAAAGCCCAACTGAAGAAGCAGATAGTGAAATGACCTCAATTGAACGAGCCTGAAGATACAGCTGGTATCTTGCATCTTACATCCTAATGGCTGCAGGTAGTGATGGTAAATAAATAGGGGCAGACTCCCAATTTCTTTGGAAAGCAGAAATGCTTGAACTTTGAAAATCAGAAGAGAAAACAGAGTGAAAAAAATGGTCAGTTGTTTAGGACTAAAGAAAAGGAAAAAGATAACTGTTAAATATTTATAAACATGACTTAGACAAAAATTTTGGTTGTGGTAGAAAAAATGTCTTTCAGACTGTTAAAAGTATAATCTTGTGTAGAAAGAAACAATCTAAAATGCCAGGCTCAAGGATCCGAACATTCAAGAGGCTGGATTTGAAATCCTGAGCATCTGTATGCCCCCTCAGTGAGGAGATGGTCAAAATGCACCCCAAGCCAAACCTGGCATCAGGAATTTGTACCTGTGATAGCCCAACTAGTATCTGCAGAGCCTATCTGGGAGATGCCGCAGCCTAGGGGGTTATTTCCCCACTGTTCAGAGCTCTGACCACCTATGCCAAGTCCTGGCTCTGCCATTACTTGCTGTGTGATCTTACTGTAGGACAAGGCATGTAGCGTTTCTAAAGTGTCTATGAAATAGGGACAGTGACAGGACTCTCTTGTAGAACTATGGAGAAGTCTCACGGAGGAAACCCATGTAAAATGCTTAGCACACTGTGTGGCATTCAGCAAGGGTTCAAGAACTGTTCACTCCTGTTATTATTGTCATCACAGTCCTTACTATTGCAAACAAGACTGTCTTGAGGATTTGTGTTACTGTCAAGACAACTTTCAATGACGAGGGATACAAGAAATGTAGCAAGAATCAATTCTCAAGGTTGTAGTCTCTATATAAGGACTTGAATGGTGGCAGGTAAGGCAGGGCAAATAGAAAGGTGGCCACTGTGATTTCATGAATTCACTCTCATTTAAATACAGAAGCTATTATCAAGAAGCCTTAGGGTTTTGCTATTGATTTTAGTGGGGCCTGTGAGAACCATCCAGGTTTCATTTAAATGTGGAAGTGACATTTAGCTTAGGGTTTTCTGATCAATATTCTACCTGCACAGGTATATACTGATGACATTTTCTAGGTTTCTCAAGGCTTATTACTAGCCCTCAAGGGCCATGAGGTAGCCTCCATTTGGTGTTTATAAGCTTACACTATTCAGTCTGTGTCATAAGCTGTAAATATTTCTCCTCCAGACAATTTGTAGTAAATTATATTTCCAAATTTTGATTTTTCTCCTTTTATTAATAATACTAACTTGTGAAATCAAAAATATCTCTACAAATACTTTAGCTTCATTATCAGACTCTTTTCTACAATGTTTCTTAAAGAAAGTGGTCTGTCTATGCATAGAAACATTTGTCACACAAATGTGTAATAAAACCACATATATTTTGTTCTCTAGTACTGTGTAGGTTCTGAACAGGCAGATGTTCACTGACTGACTGATAGATGAAAAAAGCAAATGCAACAATTTTTAATGGAAAAAATAAAAGAATAAGGGAACTAAGCATCACTCTGAAATTGAGACCTTGCTCTAAATTCTGTTCTTAAGCAGCCTGGAGCAGATAATCAAGTAGCACATTTAGAAACACTAAGGCATATTGAAAGTGCTTGATTCTCAGGAACCAAATGGTCATGAGAAATGTATTTCCAACCTAGCCAAGAATGCTGATACTCTCTTAGAGAACGATTTCTGAAATAATTCCAGCCAGATTCTCAGGGCTCAGGGCTCAGAGCTCACTGATCTCAGATCCTGGGTCTTTTGGCAAGAGATATGAAGGTTGCCACACTGGGCATAAATAGCAGAGGTAGGTCAGTATCCTTTATTTTGACCTTTTAACTAACAAATGGGCATGAGACAAAACTTCACACCAAGGGTCCTACATGAATGCATTCTCTTTCATTGGAAACACCCATTGATAGGTCAAGAAATAGACTGTAAGTACCTCCAAGATATAGCAATATATTAGTGGGGTGGGGGATGTATAAAGTGGTATATATACCCTCCTAGTCCTCAGGGAATATATAATATAGTGTGAAAACAAGCAAGAACAAAACAAAAGGTATACATAGGTCCTAAGTGCCACATAATAGTAATAATGGAGATTGAGATTTTAGGGTGTGGGTTAGGGTGGACATTTGCATGTATCTAGTCTCCCGTCCTCTCCCTCCAAGTTGACTCCAGAGAGTCTAAGCTTATACTCATGCGCTCTTTCGAAGCCCTGGCAAAGGAGTCCTCTAGACTGAGAGCCCTTAAATCCTCTATTGAGATGAAAGGCTGTCTCTTTCCTCCTCCAGGTCTGGCCAGTGATGTCTACACTGCATTCCTTGTTTGATTCCTTTTGCTTTAAAAACTCTTCTGGTTTCTGGAAGACTGACACCAACTAAATCTTCTGTAAAAAGTCCTCCCTTCTTTCTGGCATCTCTACATACTACAGGATTGTCCTCAATCAAGAGCTGATCTTTCCTTCATTTGCAAACATACTTGTTTGTTTATGGCATGTGCTATAACACTTGAGATTACTCACAGAGACAGAAAACTTTAGACCTGGCCAGTACTGTTAGAATTGGATTAGGCTTTCTGGTTTCATGCTGATATATTCCTGCTTATCTCAGGGTTAGGCCTTGGCCCAGTGACTTCATTGCCTCTCCTTGGAGCTTTGTGGCTTTTTGTTTTGCCTATAGAATGAAGTCCAAACTCTTTAGCCTGGCCCAACATTATCTTTACAGCTCCCTGCTTTCTGACCCTTTGGTTTACTCTGTGGCCCACCTCCCAACCCACAAGACTGGTCACTGCTACCTGAGGACGACATTCTTCTTAAGGCCACCAAGCCTTTGCACACACCCCTCCCTACCCTCTCTGCCCTTCTTCCCCTGCTCTACCTTGGAATCTGCTCACCCTTCAAGGTCCATTTAAGGGTCACCTCCTCTGGGATGACTTTTCCAACTTCCTCAAGCAGAGTTGGCCTTATTCCCCTTTCCTGTAGCCAAATCTTTGGGTGCAATATTTTCTAAAACTTAGTGCGTTATTATGACCGTATGCCTGTGTTTCCAGCTATCCATGTTCTTTCTCCCCAAGGCATGAACTACCATTTGTTCATTCAGCATTCATTCATTCTCTGCACCATTTATTCCAGTTCTGGCATACGGTGGACACCCATAAATGACTCCTGAATTGAACTGAAAGGGACTATAGGGGTTTAGAAATGTGAAATAATCTATCAATTATTTTAAGAAGTCAAATATGAAAATTTAAGAGGGTAGACTATAATTTTCTGTCCATATACACTCCTATAAACATGCACAGGTGGGCAAGTTATCTTTCTAGTCAATATGCATCCAGTACCTAACATACCTTGAAGGGTTCAGACAGAAGAACCTTGAAGGGTTCAGACAAGTCTACCCAGATCTGAGGGCAAAAAGTGTTTCTGGAAGTGCTGGATGGACTTTTGCTTATCTGCCTGAAATGGTACAGAGAGCCCCCAACTGAGCTTTAACGGCCTTTCCAGGAATCTGTATATTGAAGGGAATCCATCTGATGGCCTTAGGACCCTCACTCTGTAGGTGGTTTTGGGGACTCAGAATTACATCCAAGTCTGTTTATTAGAAATTTAGAGAGCCAAGAGACCAAGCATCTTGGGATCTGAGTAGGACTGATTAAATAGGTAGGAGAAGCAGCCCCAAACGTCTGCCCAGCAGAGGCGTATGGGCTGAATTCTGCATCACTGACAAATAATAGAGAACTCCAGAATTATGACACAGTTTTTAATATGTTCAGCTTTCTAATCTTCCTTGTCTCTCCACATTCTTAATATTTGCCATCAACTCTTAATGAGGTTCTATATCTTCATTTTGGGGGGTATATTTCTGTTAATTTATCACCTTCAATCCCATGAGAAATGTGTTTCAAGAAGACATGGATGAATTATTGTAAAGCATATTTATTTAGCACAATCTAATTATTGCAACATTCTGTAAAGGCAAATGAATAAATCATAAATGAAGAGTAATGAGGGTGGAGCTGCTGTGCCTGTGTTCATGATGTGTGTGGGTCACAGGGGAGCATGTACGTGTGTGTGTGTGTGTGTGTGTGTGTGTGTGTGTATTAGTTCACACATTATCCTGACTTGGCTTGGGATTCTAGATAAGATATCTGGGCAGAAACACTTTCACTTGCTCTGTGCCATAGTGACCTCAGCCCCACATGGCTATTAAACATTTAAAATGTGGCTAGTCTTAATATGAATGTATTAGAAGTATAATATACACACCAGATTTTGAAGCCTTGGGTTTTTTAAAAAGATATATAAAATATTTCATTATTTGGAAAGCAGTTTTGAAGTTTCCTAAAATATTAAGCATGTGGTTAACATATATCTAGCAATTCCATTCTTAGACAGCTACCCAAGTGCAATGAAAACATATGTCTACATAAAGATTTGTACATGACTGTCCATAGCAGCTTTATCAGTACGTAATAGCCAAAGAGTGGAAATAACTCAAATGTTCAGTAACTGGTGAATGGATAAACAATGGTGGTATATCCATGCAATGGAATATTATTCAACAATCTAAAGGAACCAAGGACTGATACATGATACAATATATATGAAGGCCAAAAACACTAGGCTAAATGAAAGAAGCTAGACACAAAAGACCATGTATTTTATTATTGTCTTTACAGCTGTAGAGACAAGAAATAGATTAAGGGTTGCCTGGGGCTTGGGATGGGAATTGAGAATGACTGCAAATGAGCCGAAGGCCTTTTTTTGGGGTGATAAAAAATGTTTTAAAATTAGATTGTGGTGACAGTTGCACAACTCTGTAATTTTCTTTCTTTTCTTTTCTCTTCTCCTTCTTTTCTTCCTTCCTTCTTTCTTTTTTTCTTTTTTTGGCAGGATCTTGCTCTGTTGCCCAGGCTGGAGTGCAGTGGCATAATTTCGGCTCACTGCAGCCTTGACCTTCCAGATTCAAACTATCCTCCCACCTCAGCCCGTTGAGTAGCTGGGACTACAGGTGTACACTACCATGCCTGGCTAATTTTGGTATTTTTTATAGAGACTGGGTTTTGGCATGTTGCCCAGGCTGGTCTCGAACTCCTGGACTCAAGTGATCCACCTAACTTGGCCTCCCAAAATGCTGGGATTACAAGCATGAGCCACGGCACCCGGCCCAACTCTGTAAAATTTACTAAAAATTATTGATTTTTTTTTTTTACCTAAAACAAGTAAATTTTATAGTATACAAATTGTACCTGAAATGTCATTAATATGTAATAAATTTAAATGTGATTTTAGTCTAATATTATTCTCATTAATATGTAATAATTCTTAATGTAATTTTAATGTAGTAAGTTTTAAATTGTTTACATGTTGAAATAATATTTTGGCTATATTGAGTTAAATAAAATGTATTATTAAAATTAATTTTACTTATTTACTTTTACTTTTTTAAGTGGCTACTAGACAATTTTGAATTAAGTATGTAGCTCGCATTATATTTCTATTGGGCAGCACAGCTTTAGATGATCCCACGATAGCTGTTAAACAATCCCCATGCCTCCATTCCATTCCAGAGATTGTGCTTCCTCTCTTCTTGGCTCACAACCAGCCCCATATGGAAACTGAGTGCTTGCATCATCCAGAAGATGCTAAAAAAGGGGGAAGTTGCCCAGTTTGTAGCTGTTTAGGCCCCTGGCTATACAACAGTAGCCCGGTGATTGGAGGAGGGGTGTTGGGCTGGGCGTGGAGGAAGCTGCTGGCCTTTTGCAAGCTGAGGGACAGGAGCACAAGAGAATACCAAGTTCACTGTCAATGGCACATCCATCGCGTCTGAAAATGGAGCATGTTCACTGTCCATCCAAATGTTCATATAACCTTCACATGTGTTCATAAATGTTCATATACCCTTCAAAGCCAGTGATCTGTGCTAAAATAATGTAAGCATGGAAGCTACTAAAACCATCTAGGAGGATCTAAGCTTAAATGCTACTAATTTGAGACAAAACTGTTTTATTTTTAAAAATATCATACGATATGTTTAGAGGAGCGAGGTTGTTATCACATTCTCTTTTTGTCTGAAGCAGTTGTTCCCAACCCTGGCTCCCCATGAAAATGACCGGGGCCGGGCATGGGGGGTAGTGGTGGTGGTTAAAGCATGTGGATGCCTCAGTCCCACCCCTAGATATATTGATTTAACTATTCTGGGGTGGGGTCTAAGTAGTGATGTTTCAAAAGGTTTTCAACAGATACTACTGAGAATCACTGACCCAGGGCCTTGCTCAGCAAGGACTTCTAGTGAACTTTGGATTAATAGAGAGAGGAGGATGGACAAGGATGAGCCATCAAATCCAGCAGGCCAAGCAAAGTTTATAACCAATCCCCTTCCCAACTAGGTCCAGCATCCCCTTTGCTCTTCTAGGCAGACAGCCAGTTTCTGCTGGACAACCATGGGTGGGTGCCGTCTGTGGCTTACGAGACAGCTTCTCTGTGTTGGATGAGCTTTAATTGTTAGACATGTCTTTCCCAGTCTAAACTCAACCCTGCTGCTCTCTAATGTCCATTTATGGGTCCTAGTCCTGCCATCTGGACAAAGACTGATTCAGTCTAGCCCCTTTTCACATGAGAGTCCTTCCACTATTTGAACACAATTACCAGGACTTCTCTACTCTTTTCTACACTATACATCCCATTTCCTTGATCTGTTCACTGCATGGCCTCCTTTCCAGGCCTGTAACCATCTCTCAGCTCTAGTTTATCAGTTTTCTCTCTAAGCTGGGAAACTTCCAAATGCTCACCCTCCAGATGGTGTCTGCCCAGGGCCAGTACAGCAGGACAATTACATTCCTTGATAAGGCCATTACACTCCTAGTAATGAACCACCACACTGCATTGGCTCAATAGCAGAACAATTGGAAAGAAGAGAGTGAAGAAGGGGGAAAAAAAATCTGAAACTTCTCATCCATAAACCTTTTACATTTGAGTATGACACTTCACAAAATACTCATCCAGTGAATGTGGACCCAATTTACTGGAATGCAAAGACTGTCTACAGAGAAGGAATTCTCATTATTACAACTTATTTCTTAAGTATTAGCCTTCTGTCAAGTGCTCCAGTGACCAAAGTTTGGGGATGCTGGCAAAATGACAATACTCAACAGAGGGCTTAACAGATTCGAAAGGATTGGGTCTATCTTAAGTAGGGTACCTTCTATTTGGGGAAATGATTTGTTTCCCAAAGGTAAGCTAAGATCAAATGCAAATCACATCTCCTGCATGGAGAGGCCATTTAAACTCCAGGCTGTGAATTGAAGCTGCTCCTTATGTGGCTTTACTCACAAAAACATGGTCTCCCAAAGAGGAGGGGCTATGCTGGACTCCTCTCTGCTGGCGCAGAGCCCAGACTGTGGTAGGATATATTTGCTTCTTAGGCAGCCTAACTATCCACATCTCTGTCCAAAGATAATTCATTTCAAATTCAATGTAGGTATATTGAATACTCATAATCTGTGCTAGATACCTGGGTAGGGTGTCTTTACATATGGTTTTGTTTTAAATTTGTTGCAGCAGGGTTTACTTGGATTACAGAACGGGAACACCTAGCGCTATTCAGAAAGGATCACTAGATTCCACGGGGTGGAGAGTCTATATAGGAATTGGGAGAGGAGCAGGGAAGTACCAGAAAAACTCAGGAATATCTTCCTGCCTGATTTTGAGAATATTAATAAAAAAGAAGCATTTTCAAAACCTAGCACATGCCCTTCCACAGTGACCTTGCTCATGTGGGTCATGGCCTTCACCTGAGATCAGCCAAATTCTGTAGACAGACATGGCAGAGGCTGAAAGAGATATCAAAGGGATGGAGAGGAATTTATGGTTTTGTAACATACAAACCAAGAGGCTCTTTCTGATGTGGGTATAACAGTGAAAAGGAGGCCTAACATGGCTAACTCCATGTTGCTCCTGACCCCCAACTCTCACCATCTGCGATGATATCTTTTAGGTTAACTGTTCTTGCTTATCTCTGCACATAGGCCAAATGAACTATGGGGGGAGTTAAGTTTATAGTTTAACTCTAAGACAAGGATGAGAATAGTCCCTTCCTAAAACTAGCCCTCAAAGAGATAAGGAGCATACACACAAGTAATAATGTTTTTCTAATGATTTACAGAAGCACTGTGGCCTGACCAAGGGCAAAGAAGTTATGCAACCCTTTTAGACTCCTGCTGATGCCCAAACATTTGTGGTCACCTGCCACCTCCTAACCTCAGCCGCCTCCTTTTTCCCCCTTCCCAATATAAAAAGAAGCTTGAGATTTATGCCCTTTAAGGTGGTTCTTTAGGACATTAGCCCACCATCTTCTCAGATTGCTGGCTCCCTGAAATATTATGGGGACATCTTCCATAATGGGGCATCTTCCTTGCCCCAACACCTTGTCTCTTGACTTACTGGCTGTCGTGCGGTGAGTGGTGCGAGCTTTGGACTCAGCTACATGGGAAGCTACCTTCTCCCAACTCCCTGGGATAATACTTGGCACCCCATGAACAAACAATTCTAACTTGGACTCTCAAAGGCCAATCTCAAGGGGTGACAGGTGCTTCTTCTTACCCAACTATCCTAACTATCAAAATCAAAACAAAATCAAATAATCAGAAAAACAGACACTGTCAAATGGATCTTCCAATAAAAATGAGTGAACATAGAATATTCAACCCTGTGCCTTGCATAAAGGATCCCTACCACCACCCCCACCGCCACCCTTGTAAGAGAAGACTCTCTTCCTAGCTATTTTGAGACCTTGTGGCAAAACGCCATCTCCTAGAAGATTTCCTGTCGCTACTGTTGTCATTCTGAGGAGCTGCCTCACACTGGACTGGTCAACCTGCCCTCTCATCCACTCCTCTTCTTTCTCCATTTCCCTCTTAAAAATAGAAATGATAAAAGGCACTCATATTTGCAGAGTCTTGGAATAGCATAACTCAGAGAAACCACTGAGGTCATTATGCGTGAGGAATTGCAGGCCTCAGGAAGGGAGGGGGTATCTCAGGTTCCACTCAGAGGTGGAGGGAGGCTGAGCCACTCTTGTCATCTTTCCGTTGTTGCTTTATTTTTAGTGTGTTTGTGTGGCCACAACTTGGTTCCTGCATGGTTATTTTCTAGGGTTCAATCTGAGAGGACCCCTGTGTTCTCTTGCTTTATTACAGAGAGACTGGGAACCCAGGCTTGCAGGCCAGTTATAACCAGGGCATTCACTAGAATACCCTTAGGGGTAACAGCACAGCAAGTGACTTGAGGTAGCTTTCAGAAAAAAGCAGAACAAAAAATAATATCGACAATAACCACAGCTTCCATTTGCCAATTGCCTACTCTGTACAGACACGGAGCTGGAGAAGGGACTAATGTACAACTCTAGGTGACAACGTGATATGGTGCCCTTTGGGGTCATGAAGTGACATTGCCCTCTGTGGCAGAAGATTTACTATATTCTCACTTAACCCTTCCATAAATGCTAGGAAAGATTACTGTGCCAATTTTTGCAAATGACAAAACTGAAGCAAAGAAGATCTAAGAGCAAGGACATAAAGACCCTAACTGGTGGAACTGAGATTTGAACTCGGGTCTTCCGGCGTTAGCTTCCTACTGGTGAGCACGGAAGGGCAGGAAGATGGATACATATACATCCCAAGACCCTGCTTAGTGTTTAGCAAGCCCAAAGGAAGCTCACAGTTATTGAGGGGAGGCCGGTGGAAAGGAAAGGGGAACAGAGGAGTGCTAGAAACCAGGTATCAAGCAGGTGGATTATGGAAAAGCAATCTCAGATAGCCACAGCAGCAGAGAATAACAACAGCAGAGCCTAAACAAACAAGAAGAGCCCTTGGGATCCACTTTTTCATGAGGTTCTTCAGTGGAGCACTCCTGAGGTAGTGGCCAAGCTCTCCTAATCACCAGCCACCACGTTGCCCTGGGCAAGGCTTGTCACAAAGAAGAGCAGGGCCACAGACAAAGGCAGCCAGCCTCACCTCGCCTCAGCACACTGCACAGCAGCCATCTAATAGCACCCTGCAAAACTGACAGATTGTTCCTCTCAACATAAACTCTGCTTCACTCCTAAAAGGATTTTATTACCTCTCGCATAGGAGTTTGATATTGGCGAGATTAAATTAACACAGTTAAAAAAGGGAGGAAAGAAAAAGAAGAGAAAAGAAAGAGAAACCCTATGGGCAGGTGAGGGGACTGCTATTAGCACTCAGAGCTTTGTGGGACAGCACCTGTCAGCTCTTACTTCTTCGAGTGACTCTCCCAGTGTGTCAAGCTGTGGAAGGTCTCCAGGAGATGCTCCGTATGAGAGGTTAAGGCTGGTTGAGTGACAAACTTACAGGGACAAAAGCCGGGACAGGATGCCATGTGAAGTTTGGAGCCAGGGCCACCCACCCAGGGTCACCCTGCCTGGATCACTTTATGAGCGGTCCAATTTATTTCTGCATGTTCGCGAGGGCCATTCACCATGGCCAAATCCTAGTTAGTCATTAAAGAGGTCCACATGATTTGATTGGCCACAACAGGCTTAGTCTAGGCATCTTGGGTTTACACCGAGTTTGCCAGAACTTCCAGGAGGGGCTGCTAGCCTGCCTCATTTTATTTAAGATGCTAACAATAGTAGCAACATCAATTTGCTGCACCCCAAAACAAGAAATAAGAAGCTCTGCATATACTGATTCGGGTCTGCATGGAACTTTGATGATAGTTGGGAGTAGGGTATCCCAAGTACACTCATGTGTTGTTAAGAAGTGAACTCTAGACAGTCAAAGGAACCAAGGCAAGAATGTGGGAGAACAAATTGTCACATACATGGCCGGTAGGAACATACATTGGTTGGAGATTTCTGGAGGAAAATTTGGCAAAAACCTTGAGATTTGGCAAAAATCCTAGCCTCAGCAATTAAAACCCAAATTTAGTGGAAATGATTATGGAAGTGAATAAAAATGTATTTTCCAAAATATTATAGGAAATATTGATTGTAATGGCAAAAGATAATTGGAAACAGCTTAAAAAGGAGAATAGTTAAATGAACTAATTCATGCATATAATGAGAATGGGAGATAAGGTTGAAGGAAAGTAATTAATGACCTGGGAGATGATCATCATATATATCTACATAATAAATAAAGCCACAAAACAGAATGCAATATGATATATAAACCATGTATGTAAATATATACAAAGAAAAAAAACTGAAAGAATAAGCATCAAAACATTAAATGTAGAAATCTTTAAGTCATAAGCTATGAGTAATTTTCTGTTTATCTTCATTTTCTTAATTTTCTACAATGAATATGTTAGTTTTGTCAACTTAAATTATATAATTGATTTTTTATTTTTTTATGTTTTAAGATTCAAGGAACTCTGGGGTGGTGCTCTATGTAAATGAAGAAGTCACAGTGCAGGAGGGATCTTTAAGAAAAGCCAGCTGTTCTCAACAACCAAAGGCAACACAGACCAGGTAACACCTTTTGGTTGTCTTACTGGGCGTCAGCATTCTTGCAGCATTTAGGATTTGATAGATACTCCATCCTTGTTGACAGATTATTAATGTCTTCTAGAAAGAGTAAGATCATATGACTAGGCCCCAGAAATACTGGCCTTTCCAAGAGCCAAGAAGCAGCTTCTGCCAGTGTTTTCCATCTCATTCCAGTCGCTCATAAATGGGCAGGGGTCAAGTCCATATTCTCCACATCCCCAGACCTGTCCTGTGCTTGGCACTTAGTACGTATTCAAGTATTCTCTTGAATTGACACAGCTTTTGTCTACTCTCTGTTTCTAGCAGGGGTAATATTTGGAAGACTCTTGCCTTCAGACAGGAGGTTCACAATCACACAATATCATTAACTTATTGCTTCACCTGAAAAAGTTTTATAAACTTTGCATGCTTGCTCCTTTTGGGGTATCATTGCACAGACTCCCCGAAACCATTCCCAAGGTGCGTCTGGCCACGTTTCCACTCTCCAAGAGAAGAAAAAAAATAAAGCAATTATCTGGACAGTTCAGGTAAAATGTAAGCTTTCTTCTGAACTCCCTTTCTAGTCTAAATCCCATTCCGTTTCTAAGAAAGCATTTTCCTGATTCATTCTGCTATATTTTCTCAATTCCAAGTTTAGTTTCAGAGAAAGCTCAGCCTATTAGCGTTAAATACTAGGCTTGGGGATGTGTGTACCTTGTGCCATCTCTTGGAGGAATATTTTACCATGAAAAATGGACTTTAATAACAGAACATTGAGAGAAATGACACAGAGATGATTTACCAGCGTATATACTGAGATATATTAAATTGCAGACAGTTTGGGTGAGACTCTGAGCCTTAAATGAAACATCCAATATCTGTACCAGCACACAGCAAAAGTGACTGCAGAAAAGCAAAAACACAGAGACATCCATATGTCACTGGGAGCAGCAGGGCCCCCGCCCTCTTCAGAAATGGCTCTGCAGTGGGTTTCTGCCTGGCTGCGGAGCACTGAACTGAAAAAGTGGTTAATTAATGAAAAACTTAAAATTCAAGCAATGAAATTACCTTTTGCAGTGACTGACAAAGGCACTATAAATAATTCAATCTCTCTCACAGTTGATTGAACAGAGTGCCTTTCCTCTTTTGACAACGGCATAGTGACATTTTTTCTTTCCATTGCCACATTCTGTAGTGGCTACAACAAGTGTCACTGCCGAAATCTAGCTAGGGAACTGACAAGGGGCAGTGAAAACCTAATTGAGAGCCGGCTGCAGTCAGGAATTCAAATGTCTAGTGTGCTTTCAGGTGGGTGACTCAAAGTGTAGGGAGGGCAGGCTTTTCAAGTCGAGAGTTCTTTAGGGGTCCCTGGAACTCCACACCCACTCCAGAAGGGGAAAAACCTGGGTACCAGATTGTCTCCCTTCCCTCCCCTGCTCTGTAAGCTCACTAACTGCAGAACCTCCAAAGTGCAGGAAGGAAGAGAAAGCATGGGTGTGGGTTCGGTTAGCAGAGGTGGTCAAAGAAGGGGAAAGAACTAACTGGAATCTGAGAGAAGCTCTTCTCCCCTTTGGGGTCCTGTTTTGTCATCTATAAAGATGCTGTGTGTTGCCAGTGTTTTCTCAGTGGGACTAGGTGGAAAAACAATCGCTTGGCAGTGGTGTCGCCATGGGCAATG
Source organism: Homo sapiens (assembly GCF_000001405.40). Classification (NCBI taxonomy): domain Eukaryota; kingdom Metazoa; phylum Chordata; class Mammalia; order Primates; family Hominidae; genus Homo; species Homo sapiens. Next base: position 29,568,873 of record NC_000002.12, read on the forward strand.
ACAGCACTTTGAACTGACCCTTGTGTATGGTCTGTAGGAGGGGCTGACAGTGCACTCCCTAAAGTTATGCTGGGTCTCTCCACCTTTTACCTTGGGTGGGACAGGGCGGGGGATGAGTCTTTCTTTTCAGACCTTAGCCTTGGCTCTCTGCAGTACCCCTGTTTCCATCCAAAGAGGAAGGCCAGAGACTGAGCACCCAGAGGGCTTCCAATCACATGCCACATTGCCCCACCAGCAAGCCCTCTGGGCACTGACTGTTAACTTGAACCTGCCTATGGCTTAAACTGCTTGAATTTATCCAACCTGTGAGGCTCATCATCCTGCCCGTCTCAAGGAATTTTGCAAGTTTCCTTTCATTCACCCTTAGAGCATGGGGTTGGAAATCAAATAGCCTGACTTTCTATAATTACAGCAACAGCTGCAGCAGGAGCAGCAGCAGCAGCAGCAATGATTAACACCTAGTGAGCCCTTCCAGTGACATTCTGCATCCTTACATAGCCAAGTAATCCCATCTGTATCCCTAATAATGCATTACTTGGGTAAATCACTTAATCTCAGTTTCCTTGTCTATAGAATGGGTTGGATACTTACATGTACCTTGTAGGTGGGTAATAATGAATGGGAAAGTACCTAACACAGAATATGACTCAAAGAACATGCCCAGTAAATGTGACTTTCTTTCCCTTTTCTTCCCCCCCCCTAGTGAGGTCCAGAGACAGTGTCTCCTTTTACAGATGAGGACGTGGCAGCACATGAAAACTGATAGGGTTTCTTGGCCATCACTCAAACAATCAAAGGGCACCAGAGGGCTCTGGTGGGGTGGTGCTGATTCCACCATCAACTGACTAACATGATTATTCTACTAGGGTATTCCCTTCAGTCCCTAGCACAGATCCTGGGCAAGCAGGGATCCCTGCTTTCCAGTTGAAAGTTCTTCAGGGGTCCCTGGAACCCCACATCCACTCTAGGAGGGGAAGAACCTGGGTTCCAGGTTGTCCCCCTTCCCTCCTCTGCATTATAAGCTTGCTGATCACAGAGCCTCCAGCTCAGGTCCTGCTTGCCCAGGCTCAGAGCTCCAGAGGAAAGGGAACACCCTAGTAGGATAAGAAATGATAAGAAATGACCCCAGGCCTGAAGGAACCACCTGCTTAATTGGGGAGTAGCCTAACACTGTGGAAACAACTAGCAAAGTCTCCTTAACAACAGAGCCTCTGGGTAGAGTTTATCCTTCATTCCTAAGGGAGGCTACTTAGGATTATTTATTTCTCATTAGACTCTCTAGGGCATGCTAAGAGCTGCACAATTAAACTCCTTATATCAAGGAAACAACTATTAAAACCTAGGATTCTAATGGATTTCTAAAAAGAAAGAGAAGATAAAGAAATAGGAGCGATCAATGCTCCGGATGTCACAAAGACACTGGACTTGGAAGATGATGTTTTAGGAAAAGAGTTGATAAGTGTGTATGTAGTCATCTGTGCCTATGAAGTTGGCTTAATTTTTAGGGCCTGTTTTCCAAGGAAGCTTGGCAGGTGTGCCCAGGTAGGACCGACAGTGCTCAAGAATGTTAAAATTCTGGGAGAGCTGCATGGGAAGAGGGAAACATTAGAACAGAAAGTGTTCAGAGATTCTGGATTGTGAGGGATTGTAAAGGTCAAACAGCCTGAGACACAGGGTCTCACCCTAAGATAGAAACAGGGTCTGCAGGAGCAGGCTCTGAGGCTGAGTCCTGGGAGAACATTTCTCTCTCTTAGAACTTGTTAAATGCCAGCTCCAGGGCAAGGATCCTCAAAGCCTCTGACGGGCATAGCTTATCTCTTTTAGACGTTTCGCTCTCTCGACAGTAAAGCTGGCTGGTCAGGAGTGATTTTGATGAAAGCAGGGTTCCCTGGCAGAGGGCTTCCTTGTGCAGAGTGCAGATGGCGAACATTTTATCCAACCAGGGCTCATCAGCAAAGCAAAACTTTTATTTACCTGTTTCTGAGAAAGGAATTAGACACTGTTCTCTCAGCAGCCTTTTAAACTAGAAGCAGGAAACACAAAATCTTTTCAAATACTTATAACAAATAATAAAATCTGTTTATATTATGGATAATTACAGAGCAGAGACTCAGGGAGAAAGGAAGGAGAAAAAGGAGGGGGAAGAAAGAGTTGGAGGAGAGAAAAATAGACATAAAGAAACATAGGAAGAGCCCACAGTCCTGGAGGGAGATAGTGGAGGGGGCACCTTACCATGTGTTCTCTCTCCCTGTTTGTGAAAGATGAAAATGAACAGCTTTGCAGAGAGAGCTAAGGACACCTAAGGGGCCACAAAGAAGTCAGAGATAAACTCTCAGGGGCACCTAGAGACCTACAGAGAGGGGCTCAGCCACACACAGAGGTAGTTTATAGACTAGTGATGTGGTTTGGTTCTGTGTCCCCACCCAAATCTCATCTCCAATTGTAATCCCCACATGTCGAGGGAGGGACCTGCAATCCCCACGTGTCAAGGGAGGAGGTGATTGGATCATGGGGGAAGTTTCCCCTGTGCTGTTCTTGTGATAGTGAGTTCTCACAAGATCTGATGGTTTTATAAGAATCTGGCATTTCCCCTGCTATTGTGAAGAACATCCTTGTTTCCCCTTTGCTTTCTGCCATGATTCTAAGTTTCCTGAGGCCTCCCCAGCCATGTGGAACTGTGAGTCAATTAAACCTCTTTCCTTTATAAATTACCTAGTCTTGGCTCATATCTTTTTTTTTTTTTTTTTTTTTTTTTTTTTTTTGAGATGTTGTCTCATTTTGTCGCCCAGGCTAGAGTGCAGTGGCATGCTCTTGGCTCACTGCAACCTCCGTCTCCTGGGTTCAAGCGATTCTTCTGCCTCAGCCTCCTGAGTAGCTCAGACTACAGGTGTGCACCACCGTGCCTAGCTCATTTTTGTATTTTTAGTAGAAACGGGTTTCACCATATTGGCCAGGCTGGTCTCGAACTCCTGACCTCGTGATCCACCTGCCTCGGCCTCCCAAAGTGCTGGGATTACAGGTGTGAACTAGAGCACCCCACTGGCAAGTACCTTTATAGCAGTGTGAGAACAGACTAATACCATGAGAATATCTGCAAACACAAAGAAAGCCCAGGTGAAGAATGGGCTGAGCCTTGCTAGACTGAGGGATGAAAAGACCAAGAACCAATGTTAGGGAAAGGAGCTCAGCTCCCTGGAGGCAACGCTTAACTTTGTATCCTGCAAGGTGGGAAGTCAAGTCACATTTTCAAGAATCTAAGGCCTGTGTTGAGTATCATTTCCAAATTGTGGCACTTGAGGGTCTCTCTGCTGATGTCACTTAAAGCCATTTTGGATTTGTTTATCCTGAATTAGTTATGAAGATTTCTTTTCTTGGAAATTGCCAGGTGAGGCATATTTGTGGAGAGGTCTTGAGCCCTGGAAGGAGACGTCAGCGTTGTGGGCCATTCAGAAACATGGTCGGCCACCGTTTAAATGAAACGTTTCAGACTTCAGGATTGAACTCAAACTCCTCAGCTTAGTAAGCAAGGTCCTAGGGAAGCAGCACACTTCTTGCAGTCTGGTCATACTGATGGCTCAGTTCCTGAGCACGCCTGGCTCTCTTGTGCCATGGCGACTTGTCACTTGCCCTGCATGCCTGGTATGCCCCCCTGACCTTGTGTGCCAGGAAAATCCATCCCCTTTGTGGCGCCTATCTGGGTGGTTATTATATTCTCATAGCAGCCTCTATTTCTTCACCAGAGCACCTCCCACAAATTTAACACAATAACCTTTAGCGTCTATGATCCCCTTTCTACTGTCATCCCTTAAAGGTGAGGACCATGCCTGCCTGTTCTTCAGCTCCAATCCCCACGCCTCTCAAAACATGGGAGCTGAACAGATGAATGAAGACTTCTCTCAAATATTTTGTCTTGGGAAAATGCCCCTCATCCACCCATTCCTTCAGTCTGTAGGAGGGGCCTCTTCCTCCCCTCCCCACTATGTCCAGTGCATTCCTTCACGCAGCCCTGGACAGCGGGATTGTGGTGGTCCATGCATCTCTGTGGCAAGCATTCTGTGGTGTCTCTCTGGAGCACCAGGCCCCCAAGACAACACTGTCCTCCTCAGGCCCTGGCTTCTGAGCTCACCATCCCGTCTCTAGTTCCAAAGCAGTTTTTACCAAGGGAACTCAATTTCTGGGTAAGCTGCAGGGAAACTAGGATATCTGCCTGGCTTCTCTTTTCCTGATGAACTTCTACAGCTCCCTCCTTTCTCTCCCTCCCCTTACTTGTAAAACAAGACTGTGGCTCCCTGAGAACTGGGCTGGATCTGACTTCTAGAGCATCCCTCAGAGCACCCAGCTGCTCCATAAACACCTGATGGCTGATTACCTGTTGCTTGATGCAATTTCATGATATAGTTATGCGTTGGTTTGGTCACTCCTTCAACAATTATTTACTAGGCACCTGCTCTGTGCCAGCCACTAATTTGGATCAGAGGTCCGTCTGCAAAGTATGGCATCAAGGCCAAATCCAGTCTAACACCTGTTTTTGTACAGCCCATGGGTAAGAATGTTATATGCTTATCTTTTGCATTTGTAAATGGGTTTAAAAGCAAACAAAAGAAGACTATTTCTTAAAATGTAAAAAAAATTTTTTGAGACAGGATCTCACTCTATTGCCCAGGTGACATGTAAAAATTATATGAAATTCAAACTTCAGTGTCCACCAAAATTTCACTGGAACACCGTCAGGCCCATTCATACACGTATCATTCATGTATTATTCGTACTACTATGGCAGAGTTTAACAGCTGCAACAGAGAGCGTGCGGGCCACAAAACCTAAAATATTTACTATCAGGCCTTTTACAAAAACAGCCAACTCCTAACCTTGACAGTGGGAATAGAACAACAAACATGACAAGGTGTCAGTGCTCATGACTACACTCACAGGAAGGAAACAGACAGTATACAAATAAAGACTGATTCATGCAATAAGGGAAAATGGAATGTGATGGGCATGGGTGGGTGGTAAGAAAAGATCTCACTGAAGAAAAGATCTCACTGATGAGCTGACATTTGAGCAGAGACCTGCACAATAAAAAGGAGAGAGAGATGGATATATAGTGGGTAGAATTTCAGGTAGTGAGAATACCAAGTACAAAGACCTCGAGGGAGGAGAGTCCTTGGCCAGAACCCCCTATCTGAAAAAAATAAAAAAAAAAATGTCCTTGCAGCATTTACTGATGCCGGAGCAGAACAAGTAAGTCCCACTGCATGCAAGCTGGTATGGTGAGGGACTGTGGTGCAGTGGTTAGAGCATGGCTCTGGTGTCAGCAGATCTGTGTTTGGATCCCAGCTGTGCAAAAAAGATTTGCTCTTACCACTGCATCTCCCTAAGCCTGGGCTTCTTGCTGGCTGAGCAGGGCCATGACACCACTTCTCCATCCACCTTCCAGGACGGCGAGGGAGATCCTGAATAAGAAGGCTCTTTCTAAACCGAAACGTACATGAGGGGGTTAAGTATCACCAACATGGGCCTCTTCCCACCTGTCTGTGCTGGTGTTCTCTGCTTTTGATTTTAAGCCCCCATGGGTTGGCTACCATTTAGCTTGAATTTTCTGGGACAGACTTGATTTTATATGTTTGGTCCTGCCGGCCCTATAAACCGTTGAAATGTCTGAGAAAGACTCATATTTCAGCTTCCAAACAGCATCTCTCTGACTGCTTCTGGTATGAAGCGCCTCTTGGCAGGACCTTGTTAATGAAGATTTGGTGAGAAAAGCTTGACCTCTGGGCGTGCAGGCAGGAATGGGTACAAGTTCCCTAGACTTGCTTTGAGGCAGGGCCTCCTGCGGGTTGGTGTTTCTACCTTTTGCTGATGAGGAGGGGAGGCCGTGCTGAACTCTTCTCTCAGCTACTGCTTAGGTACTTGGGGAGGTTCTTCTAAGCCCGCATTTTCTGCTCTGGAAAATGGGACGCAGCACAGTCCCACACACACCCTTTCCAAAAAGGATGAAGGTGAGCCTGCTGAAGTGCCCTTTGATGCTGGGGAGATGACTGCCAGAAAAACACATGTGAAACCAGGTGTTACATTATTAATACCTGCACGGCAACTTCAGAGAATTCAGGCAGGCACAACCAGCGGCACTCCAGCTGCAAACACAGCCCCGTTTCCTCCTGCAAGTCCCTGTGAGAGCCTCTCTAAATCAGACTCTATTTCTGATTGCCTCAACGTTGTATGCTGATGAACTTTGATTCATGAAGTGGCCTCTCTAGGTGAAAATTTTCATAGAACTCAATTAAACCAAATTGATTGTGGTTGGTTATAAGGGTGAACGGTGTTGCGGGGGGAGGTGGAAATCCAAGAGAGGACACCAGCAATGTAAAAATTACCCTGAAGAAAACTGCCAAAAATAATACATTTTGCTTCTTGCGAGATTCCATTGACACGGCCTTCTACAGACTTATTTTATGGAAAGCTGCGAATGTTTTCACCAGGTTTCATCTGTTTTTATTCTCTTTAGTTATCTAAGTTGCAGCTGAGGCAGGAGACCAATTGATAGGCTTCCTACCCCCACTGCAACCTCCCTCATCCCCACCTGACCCAGTCTCCTAAAGGATGGCTATAGCTCTGTGACATTTTAATTTGCTAGAATGAGACAGAATAAAGCACGAAGGCTCGGGTCAGTGCATTTATCTTGCTAGGGGGAAATTAGTGCTGGCTCTAGCACACACCCACTATATACACCAATGAAAAAATACAATTCAATTTGTGTTGGCAGCTTTAGGAGAGCAGGGCAACCATTTGTTAAGTGCAGGGTAATTCAGCGCCTGATTTTGCAGAGAAGCAGTGCTGAATTCCCAAGCTGGCAATTTTGCCGGCAGATAAGTGAGTTCCCAGTCCTTTGGAAAGTTTCTAAGCAGAAGATTGCTCTTCTGCAGTGCTGTGGCCCCAGCATGGTGTTTCTTTTGGTCAAGTCTGCTGGGGTTGCCAAATGCTCCAACAGAGTGGAGTCCAGGGGGCTTTGCAGCAGGGGTGTGGCTGATGGGCTCATGAAAGGCATATTCTGAACACCAGAGGTTGATGCAGAGGAAATGTGTTTATATGAGAGCATACTGTGCACCTCCTGAGCCTCCCAGTTAAGATGTGCCTATGTGCTCCTGAAGCTGGAATAAGGAAGAACCTGCAAGAGCCTGCAGTTATCCCATTTCATAATTAGCCAGTGGGTGCACGGGGTGCAGTCAGGAACTGGGGCTGACTGATTGGCTGCTCTAGGTCATTTGAAGTGAAACAGAGACACATTTTTGAGACTAAGAAATGAATGAAGCAGAGAGCTAGGATGTGCTGAAAAGCAAATCCCTAAATAATCACAAGGCATTAAGAAATAGTCTGGCTTACAAGTGTGCTTGTCAACAACTCCACTGCCCATTAAGCTCCCAGAGATCAGGAGCAGAACCATGAGCCTCTCCTTCCTGCCTCCTCTAGGGCCATGCTGCCGGCCCGTCTGGGTGTTGCTCTACATTTTCCTTCCTACCACCATGCACACTGCCTTCCAACTGCAGGCTAACTTGGCAAATGCCCTCAACTGTCAATGCCAACTTGGTAAGGGCAGGGCCCATGTCCTCAGCAGGTGCTCTGTTGACATTTGTCCCTCCCTGTTCAGCTCGGTTCTCTGCCTGATGACTGCTCTCAGTGAAGCCCCATGCTGATTGCAGATGCCTCTGACAGCCATGCTAGCAGGTCCTCTGGAGCACAGGTCCCCAACCCCCAGGGCCACAGACCATCCAGGAGGAGGTGAGTGGTGGGTGAGTGAGCGAAGCTACATCTGTATTTACAGCCAGTCCCCATTGCTCACATCACCGCCTGAGCTCCACCTCCTGTCAGATCAGTGGCTGCATTAGATTCTCATAGGAGTGCAAACCCTACAGTAAACTGCACATTCGGGGGATCTAGGTTGCATGCTCCTTATGAGAATCTAATGCCTGATGATCCATCACTGTCTCCCACCACCCCCAGATGGGACCATCTAGTTGCAGGAAAACAAGCTCAGGGCTTCCACCAATTCTACATTATGGTGAATTGTATAATTATTTCATTACATATTATGATATAATGATAATAGAAATAAAATGCACAATAATTGGAATGTGCATGAATCATCCTGAAACCACTCTGCACCCCTGGTCTGTGGAAAAATCATCTTCCACGAAACCAGTCCCCAGTGCCAAAAAGGTTGGAGACCGCTGCTCTGGAGAACTTCTTAGATGCCTGTCAGCCCATGCATGGCACCCGCCTCGGGAGCCCAAGACTTCACCCACATTCTCGCAGGAAGTGGCATTGGATGTTTGTAAAATAAACTCTGGGGTGTTTGGGTTCAGATCTTTGGCCTGCCCTTCACTCTCTTTGAGTCATTTTACCCTTCTGAGCCTCAGTTTCTTCATATGGAAGTAAATAAAGATGCCTACTTCAGATACGCTTAAAGCAGATGACATCTGTCATGGTCCTTGTATGCTCTGCTCAGTCACTTCCTCCCCTCCCTCAGGTGTGACAAAAGGCAAAAAGAAATTTAACGAGCAGTCTGAATGGTGGGAAGGTGGTAGGAATGTGTCTAATTGCCTTAAATAACAGATAATAATAGATGCATGGGAAGGGATGGGACCGGTAAGTCTACACGGAGGAGATCTGTGGCCATGACGATAAAGGATTAGTAAAGGTAGAAAAAGGAGATGAGGGCCCTGCCCCAGGGGATGCTACAGTTCTAGGCATCACTGCCCATCATGGGACCATCCTTCTAGCAAGTGCAACCTCCCCCAGCTCTGCAAACACAGGAGTGACTGGCTCCTCACCACATCTTTGTCTCCCAGATGGCCTAAAACACTGATGTGAGACAAAAGCACATGCTTGGTGAATCTCTGCTCTCGTTCTCACATGAGCTGACAGTTGATGAATCTTTTCTGGCAACCTAAATGGACACTATAAGCCAATTCGTCAGACACCCAAGACCTGTCTTTTTGCAGGATATGGTCTTCAATCCTCGAAGCCAGACTGTTTCTTAGGTCAGGGGAAAGTTGAGGGGTGGCGGCACTGGCAGGCCCAGGGTGGCACCCCCTAGTTGCATTGGGCTCTTTCCTCTAGGTAAAGAGGAAGAAGAGTGAATCTTGATCTACACTAACTGATAGGGTTTGGCTGTGTCCCCACCCAAATCGCATCTTGAATTCCCACGTGTTATGGGAGGGACCCAGTGGGAGATAACTGAATCATGGGGTGGGCCTTTCCCATGCTGTTCTCATGATAGTGAATAAGTCTCACGAGATCTGATGGTTTTAAAAACGAGTTTCCCTACACAAGCTCTCTTTTTGCCTGCTGCTGTTCATGTAAGACATGACTTGCCCCTCCTTGCCTTTCACCATAATTGTGAGGCCTCCCCAGCCATCTGGAGCTGTAAGTCCATTAAACCTCTTTCTTTTGTAAATTGCCCAGTCTCAGGTATGTCTTTATCAGCAGCATGAGAACAGACTAATACTGTAGCTCAGGGAGAGGTTGCAGGGTATGGTGCCCTAATTTACATAGTCTCTGTCTGGACACCTGACTCCAGGCTGTTAATAGAATCATGAAGTGCTGATGCCGAAAGGGTCTTTGAGGATGGTTATTCCAGTGTTTTCCTAACTCTGTGGAGTCCTAAGCTTGAGGAGGGCCCTCAGGGCCTGTTTGGGGGTAGGGGGGCTCCCATGTGAAGGCATTCTCTGGCTTTCTTCCTTGTCTTCAACTAGAACCACCATACCCTGTCTCTTTCTTTCTTGCAGGGGTATGTGATGATGAAGGGGTCACCCGGAATAAAGGGTTCCACTGCAGCAAAGCAAAAACTGCCTCAAAAGCCACAGAGATGGTTGATTTCATGTCCACGTTTCAGAGTCAAAGGAGTCTAAGGGCCAGAGCAGTGAAGAGACTTGCCCAAGGTCACCCGCTGGTTAGTGCAGATCCCAGCCTGGGACTGCATCTACCCTGGAGTCCAGCTCTTCTCCCCACCCCTGGACCTGCCCTTCAGACAATCTGAGCACTGTCTCTGTGCTTTCCTGGCTGGTGATGCCAGGAAGCCAAGGCATGGACTGCTGAATGGGGAGGGAGAAAGTCTAAAAAGCAATGTCAGCAGGAGAATGCACACTCTTGAAGAAGTACTAGCTATCTGCACTTTGATGTTCTGGAGAGCACCTGGCTTGCCAGGCCCTTTCTTCAGCATCTCTAGGTAGCCCTGCTGAATGGGTCTGGAAATCCACAGGGCACCAAGTAGCACAACAGAAAATGCCCAAAGCCCAGGGCCATAGCCTTGACACTGTGGCCAATTTGCCGTGTGACCTTGTGTTAGCAATTTTGTCTTTGACTTGCCTCACCTATGGATGGTTTATGCCTAAGTTCCGTTCCAGCTTTAGCGTTCCAGGCTCTTTCTGATCTTTAAAGATGAACTTATTCCTGCACCAATAGCTGTCTTTCTATCAACTTGCCATGAAAAATAGTATCCGCTCTTCCTTTGTATCCCACAAGCTTCAGAGGCCTTAAAGATCCCCATGGCTTATTTAATTTGAACTTCAACAAAATGAAATTCTTATCCACATGGGAATGATGTGATAGCAAATGTTCAGCTAGACTTTGATTTTTATGTGCATTGTTATATGCAAAGAAATCCCTGACAGCCTCCCAGATGTCCTCAGCGATGTCCTCTATACACTTTGGTGATATTTTGCTCTTTTCCTCTACGCTCTGGGAACTAACTCATCATATATGAGCCATCCTGAGGCTTCTCCAAGAGCACCCACTACATGCCAGATTTGAAAAACTGTCAACTCATCAGATTGAGAGCTGTTTCATTTGCTTCAGATGCCGGATATGTAGAGGGAAGGTTGAAAGACCCCCTCAGCAAAATACTTCAGTCTTGACGAAGCTGGGCACACCGATATACAGCTCCCAAAGAGGGCGTAATTCTAGGAGTCAACAGCTTAAGGTTCTGCACCCCCCAGAACCCAGACTCATTGTAGGAAAAGCAATGATTCACTCTGAGGCTTCAGAACAGTATTAAATTACTTGTCCATTATTCTGTGATTTATGCTGGGGTTGGGCTGAGAGGTCCCTGCATTGCTTTCTCCTCCTCAACCCACTCACCCCAGTTTCAACCACTGCCCAAACAGCCACAGAATTTATAACGCAGAAATTGGCTCTGAGACCCAGCACAGTGGCATTTTCTTTCTGCCAGGGATTTTTGCTACTGTGTCGGTTTTATGCATATGTCCACATGATTCTTATATTAAGCCACAGGAAAAAAAATCCAATTTGTTTTTTATGAAAGTCCAACCGCTGCCCTGCCAGTCAAACCCATTTATCTCACCCAGCATGGATTGCTCATGTCAACCCGTGATTACCGTGCACTACCTTGATAACAGCCTGCTAATTATCCCAACATCTGAAAAGCTGCCTTTTGTAAATTACATTGCCACTAATGAAGCCCAGATGCACTCGCTTCGGTGTCCTCTCCCGCTCCCCCTTTCTCTGTAATGCACAGGAGCCAAACCGCAAGGCCACCGCTGGCATCTGAGCAACCTTATAACCAAAGCGTAGGATTTCAGGCCCAGCCACAGCACACGTCTCCGGTTGACATAACCCCCATTTGATTCAATCTGCTTTCTCCCAGTTTGACTGGGTGTCAGATTAGAGCCCCGTTATTACAGTCCATGCAGAAAACCCAGATACCAGGCAACACTTTAATTTGGGATAATAAGGAAGATGAGCAACATGTGGCACCGATCATGTAGGTGCAAGGGCTGTGATTTCTAAATTACGCTAAACAGATGTGGAGCGGAAAATTGCCATCCAGATGACAGTTTGGTTCAGCTTGAACAAAAACGGGCCCTGACGTGGTTTGGGGCTATTTATGCCATCCTGCTGCCCAATGGCGGGGAGTCAGAGGGGCTGACGCTTATGCCACAGGTTCAGCAGTGGTCAGCTCTATGGGGTTTTGCTGAGGGACGGCTCCTATGCCCTTCCTGTTGTAGTTTCCTTATGTCTCAGGCAGGCAGAAAGAAGTGTTGAGGGCTAGGAAGCAAGGATGAGTCAGTGTGGGTGGACATGGGGTGCCTCTTTCCACAAGGTCCGATCTTCTGCCCATCTCTATGGCCATACCATGTGGTTCTGCCAAAGCCTGGCATCAAGATTCCTTTCCAAGAAGTTGTCACACATGTTTCAGAGACAGAAATAGAGACAAAGTGGCCAGGCATGGTGGCTCATGCCTATAATCCCAGCACTTTGGGAGGCCAAGGTGGGCGGATCACGAGATCAAGAGATCGAGACCATCCTGGCCAACATGGTGAAACCCCATCTCTACTAAAAATACAAAAATTAGCTTGGTGTGGTGACACGCGCCTATAGTCCCAGCTGCTCGGGAGGCTGAGGCAGGAGAATCGCTTGAACCCGGGAGGTGGAGGTTGCAGTGAGCCGAGATTGTGCCACTGCACTCCAGCCTGGGCGACAGAGTGAGGATCCATCTCAAATAAAATAAAATAAAATAAAAGAGTCAAAGCATGAGCAGAGCCCGTGCAGAGCAGCTGCTCAAAGGGAGGGCCACACCTGGTGGAACCCGCCCCTAGCCCCAGAGCCAGGGGAACACCTCCTAGGACCACTTCGTCATATCCACTTCCCACCAGCTCTGCTCTCCTCTCCCTGCTGTCAGTGCACTGGAGGGAGGAGGCTGGGAAGGTGAAGTGTGGCCTGGGCGCCTTGAGGCCTGTATTGCCCGTCTTGGCTAAAGAAGTGGGAGTTGCTTGCACCAAGACCCAGAGCTCCAGGAGATGGTGACCATCCTAGATGACCAGGGCAGTGAGGGACCTCAGCCCTCTGGATCCCCAAAACAGGAAGGAGTTCCTTTCTTCTCTCTTCTTACTTCTTTCTTTCCAAATTGGAAAGACTGGGCATTTGCCTCTGCTGAGTTTTTGCTCAGTGATGGCTTAAATGTCCATCCTGCCTTGTTTCCTTACCTCTTAGGCAGAGAGAAACATGTAGAAAGGATGATACTAAGGGAAGACTGGGCATGGGTGGTGCCTCTGCAGAGTAGGCTGCAGGAGGTGGCCATGGCACAATCCTGCCTCCACCCCTTCCTTGCGTGCAGACTCAAGTCGAGCATTCATTCAACAAGCATTTATTGGGCCTTCACTGTACAAAGCATGGGGCCAGTGTATGAAGACAAAGAAATATCTCCCACTTAAGCCCTGACCTTGAGTTGCTCAGTCTTCATGAGAAGGGAGATCTGCCTAGATAGAGCCACTTCTGGAGGGAAGAAGAGGATGAGTGCCTATGAGTGACAGAAACAGAGCACCATGCAGGTGCAGCAGAGGGAAACGGCCTTCCTGCTCAGGCAGTCATAGAGGAGGAAGATATTTGAATAGTACTCAGAAACCCCACCCAAAATCCTACAAGAATGGGTATCTCACTTCCTTCTAACTGCTTCTAAAGGCACAATCTCATTTTGTTCAGTATCTCAGTAACAGGGCCTGGGAGGGAATTTGAGCCAGGAGCTCATAGGACCAGTCTGATAATTGAGAACCTAAAATTGGGGTCTCGGGATTGGGTGAGTGCCATGGATGTGACAGATTGTTCAGATACCATGTCCTGGACATTCTTACTTGTCTTACGCCTGCTAGGCTTCTGCGGGGCATTTGCAGATTAAAGGCACACTGTGATGTGACTTCATTTTGTTAGTTTCTGTGTTGATGCTCTAAAGAACATTTACCTGCACAGTCATTCCGAGGAACAGGATCTTCCAAAGCCTGGCATCAAGATTCCTTTCCAAGAAGTTATCACACGTGTTTCATAGACAGAGACCAAGTGTGAGAGAGACAGAGAGAGTATAAAATACAGATGCAGAGAAAGAGACAGAGACGGAACCAGAGAGAACTAGAATTTTTTTCCAGTGTCAACTTCACACAAGGAAAAGAACAAAAGTCAGAATTCAAACCCAGCACTCCTTTTTTTTTTTTTTTCTATTGAGATAGAGTCTTGCTTTTTTACCCACTCTGGAGTGTGGTAGTATGATCTCAGCTCACTGCAACCTCCACCTCCTGGGTTCAAGCCTTTAGCCTGCCTCAGCCTCCCAAGTAGCTGGGACTACAGGCATGTGCCACCATGCCTGGCTAACTTTTGTTTTTTGTTTTTTTGTTTTTTTTAGTAAAGATGGGATTTTGCCATGTTGGCCAGGCTGGTCTCAAACTCCTAACCTCAGGTGATCCACCTGCCTCAGCCTCCCAGAGTGCTGGGACTACAGGTGTGAGTCACCATGCCCAGCCCAAACCCAGCACTCTTAATCCAGAGAAACTGTTCCTTCCACTACACTTTGCTTCTGCTGTTATTTACATAATATTACTGTAAAACTAAACATTGCATCATGCTTTATAATTTGCAAGGCATTTCAAACCTCATAACTGTTTGACAATCCTTTCATCATTATTAGTCTCTGTTAGTCATACAGATACCAGATGATTTGCCCAAGACCACACCACTGGTCAATGGGGAATTTTGCAGCCTGTCTCTGTTAATTCAAGAGAGCTTCCCCAATGCAACCGAACTCCTGGCTAGACCCCTAAGTCAAAGCAAAACCCTTCACAAAGAACACAATAGATGCATCCTCATTCTAATTCCAACCTCTCTTGATCTCAGTTTCTGGACTTTTAATATCAAGATAAACATGCTCCATCTGTTCTCTTCCTGTTCCAGTTACCATGAGATCCCTGCTTCTGCCCTCCCTAAGAGAACTATCTAGAAGGACAGTCCCCTGTACCAGTGACCTCTCTTCCTTGCTGTTTGTCATTTGTCCCATCTCTTGCAGTCACACTCACCTGATGAACCAGATAAGCTATTCTACACAAAACCTGGGATGTTAACAGGGTAAGTAGCCGGCATATGCCTCTGGGGCAATGACCAGTCTTCAGTGGAAATCTCATTATCTACCTAAATTTGTTTACTAAATAAATGAGACAACCTATTTATGTATCATGTAAATTTAATTAGAGGCCTGATTTATTTACTCTGTGTCTATCAACAGTCACCACTTTCTCCAGCTCTGCATCTTGAACACTCTTTCCCTGGCATAAAACAAAAACAATTAGCTTCTGTCTTTCTTGGATCTTAGCCCTGGAGCATAAGGGAGCAGAAGGCTAAAGGCAAAAGCCAAATGGGGTAGGGTAAGTCAGGGGGTGTTCAAGAGAGCCCCCTGAAATACCCAGGCTGCTAAAAAAAAATTACCAGAACTGAGGGGGGCCTCTATGAGAAGGAGACCCTAGGAAACATCTTTGAGTTAAATCTAGCAAGATTTACTGAAGGGCAAGGATGCAGGGAGTCCATGAACATTCCATGATAGGAACCCTCCTCATTTATTACTTGTTAAACGATGTTCCCCTAATTTTAAAGGCAATGCGTGTTCCTTGGACATTTTTCCCAAATAAAATCTGAGAAAAGTTAATGGTTGGTTCATCTGGATCTTAACAGGAATTTTGCAGTGAAATTAGTCAAATAAATTGGAGCAGGCCTGTATTGAACACTGTCTGATTTGGTAACATACCCTGTGACTCTCAGACAGGCACACAGAGTATGCAGGCATCCACACATCCGTGTGACCATGGAAACACTTGCTTGAATACCAAACAAGATATCCAAAAAATAGGACTATTCAAGGCCCTGCCCTTCACTTCTTCCTCCCTCATCATCGGCAGTCTCACACTCACAGGAATACTTTTCTTCACAGAGAAACTCCAGGACCTGCAGAACTCCTTCTATAGAATGGCTGGTTCGGTGTTCTGGAGTCTAGCCCTGGATTTTGCCAAGTGATCAGAATGCCTTTCTGGTTTGCACCTGAGCATGGTGACATCAGTTGTATTTGAAAAGTCATTGTAAGCAATGCCACATAAATGCATTGTTACAATGATTGTTCAGATGCTGTTGAGTATTGGTGTCTCTTTAAGGATCCATATAAAAGATTTCTCTCTGGTCATAGTTTCAGACCACATACATTTTTGTTAAGCAGCTGGTTTGTTTTGCTTTAGCTAAACTGTGAATTTTATAATGGAAAGCACTTCGTGTGCTTTGCTTCGTGTGTGCTGCTTAGGAGGCCCACAGCCAAACGTGTGGCTTCCTCTCTCAGGTAAATTGCATGGCATGGTTTTTTGTATTAAGGACATTCTAAGGTTCATAGTAACTTGCTTATCTATGTTTTCTCCTCTATCTTTCTTAATTATTTTAAATTTATTTTATGTTGCTCAATTATTGATAGTTTTAAACCCTATATTCTTTTTTAGAATAAGGCAAAATATAAATGTATAATTAAAAAATTTTTAACATTTACTTTAGGTGATGATGCAAAGAAGAAAGTAAAAGTCAATTGCAATTCAAACACCAGAGAAAGTTATGCAGTTAATATTTCAATGTATTTTCTGTCAGCTATTATTACTATTTTTTTGAGACAGAGTCTTGCTCTTGTCACCCAAGCTGGAGTGCAATGGCACAATTTCGGCTCACCACAACCTCCACCTCCTGGGTTCAAGTGATTCTCATGCCTCAGCTTCCCAAGTAGCTGGGAAAACAGGTGCGTGCCACCACACCTGGCTATTTTTTTATATTTTTAGTAGAGATGGTGTTTCGCCATGTTGGTCAGACTGGTCTTGAACTCCTGACCTCAGGTGATCCACCTGCCTCGGCCTCCCAAGGTGCTGAGATCACCCGCGTGAGCCACTGTGCCCACCCTGTCAATTGTTTTTACAAAATTAAAATAATATACCATATACAAATTTTTATCTTGATTTTTCCACAAAATATCCTGAGCATTTTTCTATAATATTAAATATTCTCTATATTTACCATTTTCTCATTTGGGGGCTTTTAGCATCTTCTCAGGGTTTTGCTTTGGTATTTTTTTCTATTATAAATAATGTTGTATTAAAAAATCTTTCTAGAAATTTTTTGTTCAAGTTTTTAATTATTATCCTAAGATACATATGTATCTTAATACGTATCCTAAGATACATAACTACTATGAGAATTAGTAGTTTAAAATACATAACATTTTTAATACTTTTGATGAATATTATACAACTGCTTTACAGTTGTAAAATATGTTTATGTTCTTGCTAACAGCATAAAAAGCATGCCTATTTCATCACAACCTCATTGGCATTATTGTGTTATTACAGTTAAAACCTTCGCCATTTTGTAGTAGAGAATGGTTTGTTTTTTAATTTGCATCTTTGAATACCAGCAATTGCAATCATTTTTCATCCTTTTATTAATCTTTTTTAAGTATTCTTCTTTGAATTGTTGCTTCATATCAGTTGCCCATTTTTTTGGGGGGGATATTAACATTTTTTTTTTTAATGTGAGGCTTTCATACATATATTAAATACGATGACTATTTTCTTATGTATTTATGGAAAATATGCTTGTGTTTCCATTTTGTTAAGTTTTTTAACTATAGGATTTTTAATTCTTATGTAATCATCTCGACAGATTTGTTCAATTTAATTCTTATCTACATTTGAGAATGAAATAACTATCCACATATATTATCTTTTAGGTCTCAAAAAAATGCTCTGATCTTTTAAATTTAACTACATTTAGTTAAAATCTAGAATTAATCTTGGTGTATTTTGGGCTTCTGTTGCAGGCTCAAGGCCTAGGCCCATGACAATATATTAATATTGGTTATCTCCAAGCTCCTCTGGGATAGTGGTCCTGTTATCTACCTGGGAAATAGGAACACTTTCAACACTCATTTAGGCTGGACTCTAGAGAAAGTAAAGTAGGCGACAACTTGTGCAGTGTGATTGGAAGTGAATCAGAAAGCCCCATCTCCCCATTGCTACCTACCAAAATATATAAAACACTTTCAACATCCAGGAACAGGACTCAAATTTCACCTTTATAGATATATCCCTTTTCTTTCTACCAGATTCCAATTAATAAAAAACTAAAGCCTGAGCAGTTAAGTCCTCTAGTCAGTTCCCACAATTAAGGGTGATTATTTTTGAAGATGTTTAGCTGAGATTCCCAGACTCCTGGGACCAGTTCCAGGACGGAGGAGCACTGAGATGGGGGAATCTAGTAGGATGAGGTGGGTGTACCCTTACCTGCCCCTCAATGCAAATGAAGCCTGAATCACTTCCACCAACACCTCCCTACTCTTGCCTGAAAGTTAGCCTAGGGCCTTTCTCTTGGGTGACCAGTTAGACTACTCCCCAGGGCAACTGGAGGGATGCTAATATATTTCCCCTTGGGGGAGGGGTAGGATATTCTCATGTTTTAGACTTGGGCACAGACACCAAGTCCCTGGTCTTCTGGTGCAGCAGATCTGAGATTCCTGGCTATTGCCTGATGTCTTTCAAGCAGCTTCACTTCTTCCTTTGACTTCTTTCAGTCCTGATCTCCCATACAAATAACATCTGTCTTTCATGACTGGCATAGGCTGTAAGCTTATTTTTAAGCACAACTCAAAAGCATTGATTTCACAAAGAAGTATAAAGCTCAAGGTGAAATAGCCTTTGCTATTCTGAGAGATCACTTCTTCTTCTGCCCCTACAAGAGTAAATCAAAATTTTTGTTTTCCCCCCTGAGGTGAACTAGTTGGAGGATCCAAAGGTCCAGGCCCCTAAAAAACCCTTCTCTTTTTAGTTCAAGTCACATGCTAATGTGTCAACTCATTCGCCTGGAGCTAATACTTAGCATTTTGCATTTGGTTTTATAGAAAATGCATAACTGTCCATAGCTTCACTTCTTCCTTTGACTTCTTTCGATCCTGATCTCCCATACAGATAACAAGAGCCCGGGTGAGGGGAGAGTTTTAGTAAACTTCCAAAAACAAATAAAGATGAGAGACTGTGTTTATGTTGTATTCAATATTTTATGAGCTAAAAATAAAAATTAAAAAAATGTAGCTTATCCCTCTAAAAGCAACAACATATAGAAATATCAAAATATTGATTTAACAGTGAAGGCCTGGTTCAGGGGAAAGAGGTGGGTAGAGTAGAGCTCTGTAGCATGTGGAAGGCCAACTTTCCCTGCATCTAACCCTCCTCTTGGTTCTTGGGCCAAGACATGCCTCTTCTAGTTCAGGAAGCCAGAGAATGCATCATCAGAGTTTGGGCCAACAGGAATTTCTGTCCCCATCCTGGACAGATTTACTTTGCTTTGCTATCACTAAGGATTTTAAGTAGATTGATCTTGCATCCCAGCTTTTCTGGGACTGTGTCCGTTTATGCAGTGACCCCTTTCACTCTCAAGAACGTCTCCACTGAGACCATAAATTATACATTATCCTAGCTATTCATGGAAAAAGAGATGAGAGAAAAATTTTTTATTTTTATTTTTATTTTTGAGATAGAGTCTCACTCTGTCGCCCAGGCTGAAGTGAAGTGGCACATCTCAGCTCATTGCAACCCCCACCCACCAGGTTCAAGCGATTCTTGCGTCTCAGCCTCCCGAGTAGCTGGGATTACAGGCACCCACCACCATGCCTGGCTAATTTTTGTATTTTTAGTAGAGATGGGGTTTTGCCATGTTGGTCAGGCTGGTTTCGAACTCCTGACATCAAGCGATCCACCCTCCTTGGCCTCCCAAAGTGTTGAGATTACAGACATGAGCCACCGCACCTGGCCGAGAAAGAAATTAAGCTCTCTTTTTGTCTCTAGATTTGGGGATTGTGGTAAGGTGAGTCACATGCTATCCCAGAGGTTAGCAAACTTTTTCTATAAAGGACCAGATAGTAAATATTTTATGCTTTGTGAGACAGACAGGCTTTGTTGCAACTACTTAACTTTGCCATTGTGGAGAAGGTGGCCACAGACAATATGTAAGCAAATGAGTTTGGCTATTTCCTAACTAAACTTCATTTATGGTCACAGACATTTGAATTTCATATAATGTTCATGTGTCACAAAATAGTTTTCTTCTTTTGACTGTTTTTCCACCATTTAAAATGTAAAAACCATTCTTAACTTGCGGGCCAGACAAGGCCTGCAAATTGTAGCTGCCTTGTGCTGTTTCAGCACCTTACTGAATGCATTGGGTACTGGTGAACAAGCCCCTCGCTCCCCTCCGGGGGCTGGTTCTCTGCATACATTGGGTATCATCATCATCAACAACATTTACATTTATATAGCCTGAACACACACATGAGGTCTGAGAGCTTTAGAGGTGGGAGAAACCTTATCATCTCTGCAGCGTTCAACCACCGAGCAAGCGATGATAGGTGAGATGTATCATAAGTAATTTGCTACTGATAATAAACTACCAAAGCTTGCAGGTGATTTATGCCTGTTTATAAGTTAGAGAAGATTTGATGCTGTTGCTATAATAATGCTATTCTCCCTCACTTGCATTTGCCTTCTCCAGGTAGGAGATGGGGTCTGCTGCAAGATGACTAACAGGTGAGGGTCACAGGCAGGACAAATTGCCGTGAATATACCAGAGCTGTGTGACCCGTGACAGGAGAAGTTGGAGGATCTCTAGTCCTACCTCATGGGGAAAAATCTTCACAACAACCCTGCAAGGACAGGTTCAGGAAAAGTGTGGTGGTCCTGAGTTTGTACAGTGATGAAATCGAGGGCAGAGAGACCAACAAGCTTCCTCAAGTTTGTACAGCTTATGAACAGCAGAGCTAGAACCATAAGGCAGGTCTTTTGGGTCCCAAAATTTGCAGGGTTTGCTATGACACACTCAGAGAAACCTCAAACACTCACAGCCTGCTGTCTTTAGGCTCTGACCGGACAACAATATCCAAAATCATTGGCTAACTCCACTGCTATTGTATAGAGTTGGGGCCTTCTCGTTCATGGTTACAGCTCGGGAAGTTACACTATCCCCATTTTATGGATGAGTAACTGTATTTTCAGAATGCTATTACCTAGATCAAAAGAATCTAATGAACATTTAGAGACCTGGCATAAAGTACTTTCATAAGTCAGAATCAGCTGCCAAGGGAGTGGGTATCCCTGTGCCAGGTGGAAGCACTTTGGCAGAAAGGAAAGTAAACAGTGAAGTCCCCTCTAGCACGCTTGTCAAATTGCCATTCTAAAAGGGCTTTGGAGGTCATTGTGTCAAGCTCTCTGTGTGCCAGGGAATAAGAAACTATTGAGCATATTAGGGGAAAGTCACCCCTGGGACACTGCCCACCCACAGCCAAAGCTAGTTTGTCTGGCTTGTCATCAAATGAACTTCTCCACCAGCCAACACTTGAATACATCTCCAGGGCCATGGGAACGGATATGCATAATTCTTCCAGAGGCACACTAAGAAGAACAAATAAATTCCTAATCACGCAACTATTTAATTTCTCTGAACATTCTTCTGAACATAGTGTTATTGGTAGCTTTATTATATTTTAATTGATTGAAAACGGGTCACTAATTTGTATTGCATTAATTACTCTACAACGGTCTACCCAAATCATGCATGGTTCCGCGGCTTGTTTTCAGTTGACCATTTTTAAAGGTTAAAAAAATTTTTTACCTTCAAACTCAAGTTCACGTTCAGTTGACAAAGATTTTTTGCCAGATTAAACTTTAGTGAGGTTCCTGAACCTTCTCCTAGGCACGTCTGTGTCCTCGTTTATAAAACCCAGTGTTATTAAGAAACTTGCTAAGTCAGTTCAGCAAAAACCCTCCACCCTAGATATCTGATAAGGTTTCTCATCTTCCACCAGGCCCCAGGTAATAACTGATCATCTTGGCCTGTCTTCAGCAAGAATCCTGTGAGGTCACTTTAGCCAGAATCCCCCCATTACCCGTGATGTTTCCTCCTTGGAATTTTCCATCCTCTTACCCCCATCCTGCTTCTTGGCTATGTATTCCCACCTGCTCATGCTATATTTGGAGTTGAGCCTCATCTCTCTCCCTCCCTGCAAAAATCCCACTGCAGGCCGGGCGCGGTGGCTCACGCCTGTAATCCTAGCACTTTGGGAGGCCGAGACGGGCGGATCACGAGGTCAGGAGATCGAGACCATCTTGGCTAACACGGTGAAACCCCGTTTCTACTAAAAATACAAAAAATTAGCCGGGCGTGTTGGCGGGCGCCTGTAGTCCCAGCTACTTGGGAGGCTGAGGCAGGAGAATGGCATGAACCTGGGAGGCGGAGCTTGCAGTGAGCCGAGATCGCGCCACCGCACTCCAACCTGGGAGACACAGCGAGACTCCGTCTCAAAAAAAAAAAAAAAAAAAAAAAAAAAAAATCCCACTGCAGTGGCCCCTTTCCCTATCATGATGGTCCTGAACGAAGTCTTACCATGCTTCAGCAAGAATCATGGAATAATTTTTTTTTCTTCAACACAGTACCCCCATATTAAAACAAAACACCAGTTCTGTCTAAACCAATTTCATTTATCAGGTCCTTCAGACTTCCTCATTCTGACGAACTAAATTCTTCATTCTTTCCTTTTAGTCCCTGGAAAGAAGTTCAAAGATTTAAAGCTGCTCTTGAATTTGGGATCTTAAAGACTACTTGGCTTTTGGAAGCATCCGGGCAGCCACAGCCAGGATGGTAAACAAGGGAAGCACCGAAAGCAAGACAGAGGGCTGGACGTAGGCAAGTGGGCATGGCCACCTCCCCAGTCACACCCCAGGGCCGTGAAACATTAAGGCTGATGACTAAAAAGAGGGAAGAATATAAAACGTCAGAGGAGCCCAGGTGAAGGCTGGGCTCTGCCAGAATTTAAAGAGATGGAAATAAACATAGAGCTCTAAGATGGCATTTTGAATTTTTCTCACTAAAGGTCAGAGAGAAGAGGGAGGCAAGGAGTGACAGCAGGGCTAACAACGAGAGAGAAATGAAAGGAGAGAGGGGGCCTGGTAAGACAAGGAAGGAAAAAGAAAGTTTTTACAAAAATAATCAACGTATGAAGTCCTGGTCACGTAGATTACATCATCATCCCTGAGTGGCAGAAGCGCCCTCTAATTCTCGGTGTCGTCAGAGCTGAGACAGACCTTCTGGGCCGTCACTGGCATCTTTCAGCACCTGAGTTCATTCTGGGTTTTACTCTTTCTGTCGTCTTTCTCATGAGTCCGTCTTTATTCTTTTCGGCTTGAGATCCCTTGTTGCCAATCTTAAGATCACTCTCTATCTCAGGTACAAAGTCAAGGCTACCCACATTGAAGGCTGGGGGTATTGTCACTGGAGAACCAGCTCCCCAAAATCCAGATGACAGTGCTTCCGGAGGGGCCTGGGGGATGGAGTGAGAGTTGGGCAGTGGCAGGACCCTGAGTCGCCAGCAGCTGATGGCTTCTGGGGTACTCAGCGGGTCCCAGAGCACCTTTCTGCTCCCTGCGGGTCTGACTCTCATATTCCTCTTAATCCTCATCCTTTGTTCCTGGAATACCACCAGGCCCACCCTAGCCTGAGACCCAGCCACATCACCTGACTCATTGCCACTCCGAGGAGCTGGTCACAAAGCCCTGTGTGCTCTGGGGTCCAGCTCTCTGCTTCTCTCAGATCAGGCCTGAGCTGACCACACCAGCCCTCTCTGCTCCTTAGTCCATGCTGGCTCAAGCAGGCTGCTTGGAGTTGCAAAGTATCCCTCTCGCCTGAGCTCTTGGGGCACAAACTTGGTGGGAGAAGGGAGTGAAAGAGTTGTTTATTCTTTCCCTCTACCTGGGAAGAGGGATGCTGGAGGCCACAAAGCCTCCTTCTCCTCACTTCCTGGCTAGTTTTCATGTTGGGAGGTCAGATAAGTTGAATAACTTATGAAACTAGAGAAATAACCCTTCTCCTAATATCCCTATAGTGTGTTAAACAGTGTCCCTCAGAAAGATATGTACTAGTCCTAACCGCTGGTACCTGCAAGGGAGACCTTGTGTGGTAACAGCGTCTTTGCAGATGTAATTAAGCTTACATGGACTGTAAATCCAAAGAGAGGCAGGAGAAGAGATTTGAGACCCAGGGAAGACATACATATGAGGAAGGAGCTTGGAGTCCTTCTGCAAGTCAAGGAGCTCCAGGAACCACCAGAACTGGAAGAGGCAAGAATGAATTCTCCCTGGAGTCTTGGGAGGGAGAATGGCCCCGCTGCAACTTGACGCTGGCCTCCAGAGCTGCGAGATAATACATTTCTGCTGTTTTAAGCCACCCAGTTTGCGGTCATTTGTTGTGGCAGCCCTAAGAAACTAGCACATGGCCTGAAGCAAATACCACCAATATCAGAATATCTTCTGTTGCCATACATTGGACAGAGGGGTATGGACTGGGCCTCACGAGTTCAGACAAATGAGTCCACAGGTTACGTTACGCCAGTGCCTGGCTGGCATGTGGGGTGAGAGCTTTGGATGAAGCCAACGTAACATTGGTCTGTGAAGGGGCCTTGGGGATTTTGTGGGAACAAAGGATAAGGATGTCAGGAGGTCAGAAAAGTCCCAGAAGAGGGATGGCTGGAGATGATTTCCAGTATCTTAAAGGCTCGACCATTGCCTATGGAGAAACAGGGAGTGAAGAGATGCAGGCAGACTAGGATTTCTCACCCTAGGACGTAGTTTCCCTGAGAATGAGGGAATTGACCCCTCTTCACCGGGATCACTACCTGACACTGCCTTAGAGACCCTGTCCCCTTTCATTCTATACCCTGTATTTCCCACTGCAAAACTTGTTTCCAGAAAGCTCCTAAGGACCTACAGGAGGTCCCCAACTCTGACAGAGCAGAAAATCACAGTCACCTTAGAGGGAACTCTAGGGCTATGCACCTGAGAAGAATATTGGCCGTTAGCCAAGCATTCTTTAATTCAAAGAAAACCAAAACACAGTGAAAGAAAGATGTCACTCTGCATTTAGGGATGTGATGAACACAGTCATTAAATGTAGAAACCAAAAAGTTCAGAAGTATAGCAGAATCTTGCTCTTTTTACTTCCTCTGATATCCTATGTGACTATGGCAAACCAGTGTATTCTTAGGACAAGCTTCTCTATAGTCAATGCTGTGAGTGTTGAGCTGAAGCTGACAGTACCAGCTTTTAAAGTTGATTGTGACATTTTCAGGAACTTTGAAAGAAGATTGTTAAATACAGCCATTATTAAAATATGCGAACTTACAATTAAATCAGTGCTTCTCACTGGGGGTGATTTTGTACTCCATGGGACATTTGGCAATATCTGGAGAGGTTTTCTTGGTTTTTACAACTGAGGATTTTACTAGTATCTAGTGGGTAGAGGCCAGAGATTCTGCTAAACATCCTATAATCACAAGGCAGACCCCCCAAAACAAAGAATTATCCTGCCCAAAATGTCAACAGTAGTAATGTTGAAAAATTCTGAATTAACTACATTATATTTTATAAAGGTAATAAATCACTCAAAACTCATCACTTTCCAACTATTTACTAGTATCTATGTTTTTGAGGTTAGGTATTTACATGCATATTGTGTCTGTATGGTGGAAATACTATATAAGGGTGTGAGCTGTGTATCTCTTCCCAACTCCACATTCGGTAAAATCACGTCAGTAGCTTAAAGTGGCCATGGTGGCAACATTTACACTATGAGTATAGACAAACAGTACAAATAAGGTCTCCTCACTTTTTTTTTTTTTTTTTTTTGAGATGGAGTTTTGCTCTGTCACCCAGGCTGGAGTGTAGTGGCACAATCTCGGCTCACTGCAATCTCTGCCTCCCGGGTTCAAGCGATTCTCCTGCCTCCGCCTCCTGAGTAGCTAGAATTACAGGTGTGCACTACCATGCTTGGCTAATTTTTGTGTTTTTAGTAGACACGGGGTTTCACCATGTTGGTCAGGCTGGTCTCGAATTCCTGACCTCATGATCCATCCACCTGGGCCTCCGAAAGTGCTGGGATTACAGGTGTGAGCCACTGCACCCAGCCAAGTCTCCTCACTTTTTTGAAGAGCCAGTTGTTAAACATGCCCTAGCTCACTACTGGAGAAATGGGTATAGTGTGGCTATAGGGGTGTGTGTGGGGGTTCTCTTCTCTTTCTCACTTCTTTCAAAAGAATGCAGTGAAGCTGAGACCTCTATTTTTCTAAACAAAAATGGGGGGTGGGGGGCGGGGGGCAAAGAAGGTTGAAATAAATGAAGTATCTGATAAAAATGCAAAAGGAAGGAACAGAAGGAATAGATTATTTACAAGAAATAATTTTAAATGGAAAGGAAGTCATGCGTCTAAATATCTTTTTACACGATTAAAAACATCTGAATGAAAAGTGAAAATCAATCCTCCTCCCAGATGTCTTTTCATTGTGATGCCAAGTAGACGAATATTTGAATATTTGCATTACACACAGCTTAATATCTCAATATTAGGAAATATTAAGATTATTTTCTACTTTTTTTCTTCTTCTTCAGATATTTGAAAACAAACACACTTTTGCTAAAGTCGCACATGGTTTCAGAGTGATCCCAGGTGGAAGCAGAGACACAGACAGTGGTTTCTTCACTGAGATCTGCTGTCTTACTGGATTTTTTTTTTTTTTTTTTTTTGAGACAGAGTCTCGCTGTCACCCAGGCTGGGGTCCAGCTGCACGATCTCGGCTCACTGCAAGCTCTGCCTCCCGGGTTCACGCCATTGTCCTGCCTCAGCCTCCCGAGTAACTGGGACTACAGGCGCCCACCACCACGCCCGGCTAATTTTTTGTATTTTTAGTATAGACGGGGTTTCACCGTGTTAGGCAGGATGGTCTCGATTTCCTGACCTCATGATCCGCCCGCCTCGGCCTCCCAAAGTGCTGAAATTACAGGCGTGAGCCGCCGCGCCCAGCCGTCTTATTGGAGTTTGAGATTGATCTGTGATGTGGTCACATTCTTAAAGAGCTCCTCTCAATAAAAACACATGGGAGTAGGGGGAACAGAGAGGAAGACGGAGAGAGAAAACAAAACATTTTCAATGAAAGGAAGAATTTTACAAATTTTAAAACTAAGTAAGCCAATGAAACAAGTCTGTTGGGATAAAGTGGTAGCTCAGAAGGGGAGGCACAGGGAATAAGTTTTCTGAAGCTGAGAGAATTCCAGGACTGAAGGGAAAAAGCAGAAGAACCCTGGACACTGATAGGAATGAACTCTGGACGAAGATAAGGTGTCGTGCTCCAGTAGCGGCAAGCTGGCTTGATAATGAGAAAATGAGGCTGGGGCCATGTTTAAGAAGTGAGAGTAAACGAGTGTCCACTTAGATCCCAGGAGCCCAGACCACATGTACATACATCACCTAATACAGGGCTGGTGCCTACTCCACACTCAACAAATGTTAGCTCCTCTCCCTAACTTTCAATTGCACACGTTTGTGACTTACCTCTCACCTCTGATCTCCTTCAGTTAAACCTACCTCTACCATATCCTTTGGCCAGATTTTTCTTTCCCTAACCCAAATAGAGGCTCTGTTTTTAGGTCCTGCACACTTCTCCCTATATTCCTATTGACAGCTTCAATTGCCCTGTCTGTGAAAATGACTCTGGGGTTCACAGCTTAAGTCCCAATATCTTGTTTCTCCCATATCCTATCTTCTAAGTAGTATACAGACATCCTAAATGTGTTGCTGCCACCTTCACTCAACATGTCCAAAACAAATCACCCTCTCTTTCCCCAAACCATCTTTCCTTCCCTGATAGTGTTCCCTGAAGAGAGAGTGATTTGTCAGAAGACTAGAAGGTGAGGAGAGTAAAGACACCTTAAGAAACAATAGAGATTCAGAATGGCTGCAAGGGGCAGGTAGGGGTGTGTGGAGAGAGGAAAGGGGAAGCTAGAGAGGTGAGCAGGGCCAGATTCTGAGGGCCTTGAGTGGCACTGAGGATTTATGACTTGATCATAAAACCCAGTGGAGAGTCCTAACTGAAAGGGACTGGAAGCAAAATAGCCTTTGATAAAATAGACTCTACAAGAGCGTTGGCATGGTGGCAAGGGCTCTGGCCACTTGAGAATTCCCCTGGCAGGCCAGGGCACGTCCCTACTTCTATAAGAAGAACTGAGACCATGTGGGGAGCCTCCTGGTAACTCTGTGGACTGCAGACTGCTTGCTATGTCTTGAATGAGGTCTGCCCTCTTAAAGTGGTCCATGAAGTCTTTCATCATTGCCCTTTGTGGAGGGGTCCAACCAAACTTTGCCTGATACTGAATTCCTCCCCAGAGGGGATATTCTAGTCTCGGCTGCTGGGTCTTTAGTTGGTGTGACTGTGGGCCAGTCAATACCTAGATCTCTAAGCATCCCCCACTTTGAAACAGACACAAAAAAAATAGCACTCCCTCAGAGGCTGAGAATAAGACAAAGGCAACCGCATTCTTTAAGGCCACAGGAAAGTACCTGGGAAATATGAGCCTATTATTAAAAGTGGGTGGAGGAGATTGGAAGGAAAGGGAAAGTCTGTTGGAAATCCAATCCCCTGACGGGCAGTGACAGAGGTGGGCAGCAGGCCTGGTCAGCCTCACAAATCAGGCTTCTCTTAAATAGCTACTGTCAACAGAGTAGCGAGGGAGTGGAGATTTAGTGCTCACTCTCAAACCCATCATATCTGTTGTGCTTCAAAGCATGGAAAAGATGATAAATCAAAGAAGAATATGAACCAACGCCACTAATTTGGTGCCGAGTTGTTCCATTTGCCATGGAGTCCTCAGAAATTCCTCCACAAAGCCCAGTGCCCTTTTCTTAAAATCACATAACCAATCAAATATTAATAAATGTATTAATTCCTAACAGGAAAGGTGACTCATATGGATTTTGCATTAGGGAAGAAAAAACCTGACAACTAAGAGGTCTCAACTGGTTTTGGTGATCTAACCAGCAATTTTGTCCATTTAGGAAAGATGTGGCTTCCTGATTAATGTGGAACCTTAGCCATGATTTTAATAAAAGTTTTAATATGTACAGCTGCTTAGCTGGAGTCATGTTTAATTAAAACCTTGAAGACTCCTGGAGCGTTCTCTCCTCTTCACCAAGGGAGGAGACACAGAATGGCCCCAGGGTAATAGGGAGATAGCGGGGCAGGTGGAGGGATATTGGGGTGTGGTGCAGGGCTGCAGAGGGGTACAGAGGAGAGGAGCAGAGCACCCATGTGCCTGAGGAGAGTGTGGGCCACTGCCAGCATCTGCCAAGGGAGGCTGGCCAATGTGGCTGTTCTTCATTTGGGTTTTGTCACCTGCTCTAGCTCCTCACTTTGTGGAGGGGAAAACAGAGGTTCAGAGAGTACTGTTATTTTTTGGAGTCAGAGTATCACTCGGTCACCCAGACTGGAGTGCAATGGTGCGATCTTGGCTCACTGCAACCTCTGCCTCCTCGGTTCAAGCGATTCTCCTGCCTCACCTCCTGCGTAGCTGGGATTACAGGTGTGCGCCACCACGCCAGCTAATTTTTGTATTTTTAGTAGAGACGAGGTTTCACCATGTTGGCCAGGCTGCTCTCAAACTCCTGACCTCAGGTGATCCACCCACCTCGGCCTCCCAAAGTGCTGGGATTACAGGCGTGAGCCACCATGCCCGGTACAGAGAGTACTTCTAAAAAGAGAACACTAGTTGTTTGTTTTTTGTTTGTTTGTTTGTTTGTTTGTTTGTTTTGACATGGACTAGTGTAACAGAACCCAGCATAGAAACCTAGAGGTGACACTAAGGCATGGCATGATCCTAAAACAGCTTGTTCTTATCCTAACAGTTTTTATTAGGGACATCATGAAAGCTCATGGCTTCACAGTCTTGCAAGTAGGAATAGGGCAGCCATGGGTCTAGAGAGCAAAGGGCATCAGGCTCTGGTTTTAATAGTACATGACATTTAGTGAAAAATGGTGGTCTACAAAGCTATGTATAATCAGATTTCAATTACAGAATATATACTATAATGTATACTGATGGGCATAGAAAAAAGAATGGAAGGAAATGCTCTAAAATATTAATATTGATTAAAAGCCTTGAGATGATGGGAGCATGAGAAATTTTTATTTTCTTATTTCATACATTAGTATATTTGATGAATATTCTATAATGGGCATGAATTGCTTTTATGACTGAGAGAAATAAATATTATAAACATATAATTTGTATTACAAAATAAATATTACAAGGCACCTTAAGCCATCTCTTTTGTTCCCTGTTACAAAATATATGGACACTTAAAAGTACATGTAAAAGGACACATAAAAAAGCATGAACCAAAAAAAAAATTTTTTTCCTCTACTTTAAAATAACGATGTCCAGGCACTTAAGCTATGTGGTATGGAACCCTGTAAAATGATATAGCTGTGTCATCAATAGATAAGTTACCCTCTGAGGTAGCTTAAGAAACAGTGGCTGGTTTTAAAATGACTACAAAGCAAACCTGACAATAAAATTCACTTAAATATCTGACTCTGCAAAAAAAAAAAAAACACATTACACTCTGTCCTAGAGGAGTACTATGTAATTGGAAGGCCTGTGCTGTACCAAGAACATCCTTAGTATAAGGCACAATCCCAGATGTGATAAAATAAAAATGTGAGCTCTTAAGTACTTTTTAATGTTTCAAAGTCAACGAGGAACTAACTGCCAGGAGTAGGATGGCAACTCTCTCACTTCATAACATGTTTTTAAGCAGAAAAATTCCTTAATAGAGGACGTGGAGTCATATTTAAGGAAGGGAGGAGGCTTGAATTGTGAAGCACCAAGGGGGCTTTTAAATGAAGCTGTTGAATGAGTTGGCTTTTGGGGTACAAGAATGTGTGTGACCAGGGCTTTGTTTGCAGGGCCTGCAGTACAATGCAGATTTTCAGGGACCTGCCTGGACCAGAAGGGAAGAATTTGAACTTGAAGACACTTGAGTTTCTTCTTGAAGATAGAAAATTGAGCATAAGCTGACACTTCATTTTTCCACACCAAACACTGGCAAAGGTAGAAAACTATTTAAGTGTAAAAAGAGTTAATAGATATATATCCATACTTGAAAGCAAGAAAGAGACATCTCATGAGACCAAAATGGGGATTCCTTAAACCCTAAAACATGAAAACAAAAGGAACATCAAATGGGCAATACGCCAATGCTCTTTGCCTGTAGTAAGGACAAGACCACCCTCATGAGGCTGGGGGCTGGGTCACCATGCTCACTGGTGTTGAAAAGCTAAGCTGTGTGGTTCCCACCCCTACCATCTCCCTAAGATTGGGGGTGATGTGATTACCCATGGCGAGGTGAGGAAATTGCTACTCACGTGACACAAGGGCCCAGAGCTCACTCCGGTGAGGACAGAGCTCAGATCCACATCACCCATCCACACGTGGGGCAGACCAGTGGCCAGCACAAGCCTGAATGGGAACCACTTCCCCTCAAGTCTAGGGCTAAGACCCCCCAAGACTGTTTTTCCTGGGATACCACCCAGAACATTCAGAATGGTGGCTTCTGGCAGAAGATGAGCTCATAAACCAAAAATTCTCAAGCCTGTGGGAGAGTAACACCACAAAAGGCAGACAACAAACAGAAGTCACATGGGGAAACAGAGCTGATAGAGTAACATTAAATTGGCTCTTAAACAAGTATCTTTACTCAAAGAGATAAAGGACGTAATAACATCCATGGAAAAGAATAGGTGATTATGGAATGAGAGGAGGTGGTTATCAAAGAGAAAACACATAGAAATTTTGGAAATGAAGGCTGAAGAAGTAGAGGAAGACATTAAATCATAGTTTATGTGGGAAACAAAATGCTGAGGTTAAAGAAGTAGCTCCTGGCATTGGAGAAGAAGCAAATGAGAGAAACAGATCCTAAGCCTGCTGGGAGATGGGCAATGCAAGTGTTTCAGGCTGATATCGTGGGGGCTGCTCACGTGCTCAGGACTGTTTGTGTACAGTGTCGATTGCATGGTGGGGGTGGCCCTGAGAGCTCAGAGGATTCAGGCCAGATTGAACTTTGTGGGAGCCAAAGATAGGTTGAGATGATTCAAAAGGACAGTCTGGGGACACGTTAAGAGTTGGGGCATAAACAGTAGAAGAGGTATGGTGTTGGTTGGTGGGTGGAGGAGTAGGAAGGAACCCAGGCCGTATTTCTGGAAATAGGCAGCTTAACTTGGAGGACCATGAAAGGGCTCAGTATTTCTACTGGGGGTTAGCAGCAAATTTCTTAACAGCCCAGCTCAGAGGGACACCCACCTAGGTGGAAAGGTGAGGACTGCTGGGTCACCAACTACACTGGGTTAAAGGTTTCAGAATTGGGTTGGTAGTCTATTTTATGATTCCTTTCTGGAAGTCCAAATAACCAGAACTGCATTTTCACACAGCTCTGCCTACATGCAGAGAAATTTGCTCTCTGATTCCCATTCTAGAAGAAGTTTCAAACTAGCCAATTCACAGCTTGGCAAATGGCCTCTGAAAGCAATACAGAAATATCAGGGAGTGAAGGGGCAAGAGAGCAGGAGCCTAGTGTTGCAGCAAGCCCCTAGACAGGTTCTAATACTTTACAAATATTAATTTAATACTTATCAAGACATTGGGCACGAGTTCTAGCTCCAGTCCTATTTAATGACTTGATTCTGGTGCCTCGGTTTCCCCATGTGTTCACAGGGGATAATCATGTGTCCTCTGCCTATCCTAAAGTATTAGGGTTATCTTGAGTATCAAATGCAAGGATATGAATGGAAGACTTTGTGAGCTGTGGCATGATTCCAGGGGAGGGGCCGGGGCTGTAACAAAGGGAAGCAGGTGCACACTGTGGCCTGGATACTAACGGCTCCATTAATCTTGGTGGAAGCATCAAGAGTACCAGTGGATTTTTTCTTCAGTGTCATGGCCACCCAGAGAGGACAGGGCAGAATTATGGTGCTCACTCAGCTTCTCTGAGTGTTCCATAGAGTGAAGTGAGCCGTGGGAAGAGTTCTCTGAAAAAACAAAAGCAGGCAGGAAAGTCATGCAAATGGGTACAGCGTGTATCCAGAGGAGTGATGCCGGGTTCAAGCAACTCAGAAACAGCACCTGGGCAGATTCAGCAGAGGGTCCAGACCTCGTCCTGGCATTCATTGTCAGGATGCCCCTTACCAGACTCAGAGGCCGAAGCTCATTGGCCTATCTGGATTAGGGGAGATAGAAACTCTGAGAGAAGCATGTTCAAGCTGGACAGAGATAGAGAGCCCCAGGCATGCCTCTGAGGACACCTGAAGGTGGGGGCGGGGGACAGGAACTCTACCAGCTCAGTGTCCTGAGGGTGTGAGTGCCTCAAGGGTTGGATGCAGATTTACTGGGAGGTTAAAAGGCTAACACCTAGTTTATATTACTAATTGCCTGTGGCACTACTGAGGCAACGGAAAGCTGAGCAAACTCGATATGAATCATATATTTTTGTTTTTTTCTTGATATTTTGCCAGCAGGATGGGATTTATCATTTTCCTGGGGAAAATGGCTTGACTTGTCCTTATTCTCACAGAACAAGCTTGGATGGTCACTCTTATGGCTCATTTGCCCCAGGGAGGCCCCAGACATATTCAGGATCCAACATGGACAGGCTTGGAGAAGAGATTCTGCTCATAGAATCCCAGCAGGGTCAGGCCTGGGGAGGACCCAAAAACCATCAAGTCCAGTGAGCTTTTTATGAAATCCTATTTTGAATGAACTCTTTAATATATAAGACAGACATGAGTAGGGCTGATCTGGTTAAAGAGGCTTGGAGTCCCACCAGGCCACCTGCTTGGAGACTCTTAATATATAAAATCTCTTAATTTTCCAGTTTAGCAAGGATTAAGTGATGTGTCTAGCATTACCTAACAAGGTGGTGGTAGAACAAGATCTGGAAACCACAATGCCTGACTACCAGACACAGAGGGTCCTGTTTGCTTGATAATGTCACCACCCCTCACCTGCCTCCCTCAGGGGAGGTACAACAATGACAAAGATCAGGTTAAAGAGTCCTGAACCTCTGCAAAAATACATAATGATGCTAAAGAAGGTGGAAGGACTATAGCTGGACAATAGAGGCTACCACATTTGGAGGTGAGTTTGTTGATGAAAAAGCCAAGTTCTATAAAAATATTTGAAACTGTATTCCGAGCCAGATGTGAAGACCATGACCTGTGACACAGCCTCAGGAGATCCTGAGAACATGTGCCCAAGGTGGTTGGCTACAGCTTAGTTGGCATACATATTAAGGGGACATAAGACATCAATCAATACACGTAAGATATACATTGATTCTGTCTGGAAAGGCAGGACAACTTGAAGTGGGGGCTTGCAGGTCAGAGGTAGATTCAAAGATTTTCTGATTGGCAATTTGTCGACAGAGTTAAGTTATTTATTATCCAAAGACTTGGAATCAATAGAAAGGCACGTCTGGGTTAAGATAAGGGGTTACAGAGACCAAGGTTCTTATTATGAAGATGAAGTCTCATAGGTGGCCACTCATAGAAGCAATAGATCGCAAATGTTTCCTATTCAGACCTTTAAAAGGTACCTGAGTTTCAGCTAATCTTGTCAGGATCAGAAAAATACGTAGACAGGGAAGGGGATTCTCTACCAAATGTAAATTTCCCCCACAAGAGACAGCTCTGCAGGTCCATTTCAAAATATGTCACAGAAATATATTTTGGGGTAAAATACTTGGATTTCTTTCAGGGCCTGCTCTCTGTCATGTGATGCTACACTAGAGTCAGGCTGGAAGTTAGTATCTTATTACTACAAAGAGTCTGTTTTGTCAGCCTTCAGGTCTCTGTTTTCATGTTAATGCCAGTTAGTTGTGCCTGCATTCCAAAGGAAGGAGAGTATCATGAGGCATGACTGACCCCCTCCTTCCCATCATGGTCTGAACTAGTTTTTTTTAGGCTTCCTTGGAAGCCCCCTTGGCCAAGGGGAGGGGTGCATTCAGTCGGTTGGGTGGCTCAGAATTTTGTTTTTGGTTTACCAGTTCATCCCTCACACTTGGCCCAGCAAGCTCAGCACCATTCAGTCTCTCTGGAAACATCCTGAAGCACTGGTAGGTCAGTGATGAAGGATAGAAACCATCCCTCAGTTTATCAGTTTGAGCTTATGATTCCCCCTATGCCTGGGATACTTCCTTTTCTATCCACTCTTTCCTGGCTAAATCCTTAAATCTTTGCACCCACTTGACTTGCCAATTCTCCAATTTAAACGATGTTTTCCTGTAATGATTCCTAATGAGACCCTTTTTTTTCCTTCCTATGCAATTGGTGATTACATGAAAAACTCTTCAAATTATTTAGTATCCACTTCTCCCATAAGTAAGTACCACAAGGCTAGGATCAAGTTAAATGTGGTCACCTCTGTATACTCAGGGTCTAGCACAGGGTGGGCAAATTACAATCTGTAGATCAAATCTGGCCCACTACCTATTTTTGTATAACTCAAGAGCTGAGAATAGAGAAGTTTTTTTTTTTTTTTTTTACAGTTTTTAACTGTTGGAAAGAAATCAAAAAGAGAATATTTTATGACGTGAGGATTACGTGAAATTCAAATTTCGGTGTTCATAAGTAAGGTTTTGTTGGATGACAGGCATGTTCATTCATTTACGTATGGTCTATGGCCCTTTCGTGTTACAATGGCAGAGTCGAGTAGTTACAACAGAAAAAAGAAGCAGAGAAGGGCCATGCTGAAGTTCACACATGTGTCAGGGATTACACTCAGATCTTTCAAACTCCTGCAGAGTTTTTACTTATTGAATTTCTCCAAACTGGCAACAAAGACAGCAAAACTCATGGCCCAGAATCTAACCTGGTCCCCTCAGCAGGTTTTCTAGGTATCTGGGATAGGTAAATATCCTGAGGACATGGGATAAAAGATGCTTTGTTAAAAGCCACTTTGAACACCTCCCTGAGAAAAGACATTTAAAAGATAAAAGGGAAAAGAGGTCTGATGTGTCCTGTTTGTGCCAAAGTTGAGTTTGGTTTCCATTCCATTATAAAATGCAACAACCCTAGGAGTTTCATGTTCTGGCACCACATTGCTCTTTCAGATCTTGCTTTGTTCTGCTCACATCTCTGACACAGGAACAAAGCCACAAGCCTATGCAGACAGTTGTCTCTGGATTAGAGTGCCTTGTTTCAGCTCACCCTGCTCAAACCAGAGCTATACAAAGGTGGCATTGGTGTTAACTCTTGTCTCTTAAAAGTTGGTGAATCCTCTCTTCAATCATTCCTGTTGGGATATTCTGACATATTTCACTCCAGCCAATAAATATAGGTGATATTTAATGACAGTGGGGGCCAGCGCAATAGTAGGACACTATGTGAAAGCAATAATCTACAGTCTAAAGAAAACCATGCTTGAGTGGATTACTTCAGTTTCAAAAGTCAGTAGTCCCCTACCTTTTTGGCATCAGGAACCGGTTTCGTGGAAGACAGTTTTTCCACGGACAGGGGGGTGGGTAGCGATTACGTTCTCATAAGGAGTGTGCAACTAAATCCCCTGAATGTGCGGTGCACGATAGGGTTCACGCTTCTATGAGAATTTAATGCCACCACTGATCTGACAGGAGGTGGAGCTCAGGTGGTAACGCTTCCTTGCTCGCTACTCACCTCCTGCTGCTGCGGCCCGATTCCTAACAGGAACCAGTATCGGTCCATGGCCTTGGGGTTGTGGAGGCCTGTCATAAATGACCAGGATTGAAAGGGGCCTTAAAAAGTTATCCCACTGCTATAGACTAAATGTTCAAAATTCATAGGTTGAAATTCTAACCCCCAGTGTGATAGCATTTGGAGGCGGGGCCTTTGGGAGATAGATGACTTAGATGAAGTCACGAAAGGTGGGGCCCTCATAATGGGATTAGTGTTTTTATAAGAAGACAAAGGGAGACCAGAGCTTTGTCTCTTTCTTCCACGTGATCACCTGGCAAGAAGGTGGCCGTCTACGAGCCAGGAAGAAGGCCCTCACCAGAAACCGGCCATGTGAGCACCCTGATCTTGAATGTCTTTGCCTCCAGAACTATGAGAAATCAATGTATGTTGTTTAAGCCACCCAGTATATGATACTTGGTTGGAGCAGACCCAGTGAAGGCACCAGCTTACTGGCACATCTGAATTGTGAGTGTTCCTTCTGTAGCCTCTACCTGAAGGCTCACATGGAATGCTGCCTCCCCACCCCTCTGACAAAATCAAAGTGACTCCTGCTTATCAGCTGAAATTTGCTCCCTGTAAGTTCAACCTGATGGTCTTGGTTCCATCCCTTGGGTCCCAAAGAAAAAAATCTTCATTTCCTTTCCATGAAAAAGCCCCACTACCATCCTTCCACCTCCCACCCCCACTGCCACCTCCCCATAACCTCACAAGTGCTCTTTTATTCAGATCCAATAGGCAAATATTTTCTAATCACTCTTCATGTGCTATGGTTCCAAGACTCATTTTTTCACAAAAGCTTTCAACAGGGACAATAAGCAGCCAACATGGCAGGCATTCACTTCATT
The DNA here is from genome assembly GCF_000001405.40 of Homo sapiens. NCBI lineage: Eukaryota > Metazoa > Chordata > Mammalia > Primates > Hominidae > Homo > Homo sapiens. The sequence continues at coordinate 29,606,196 of NC_000002.12, forward strand.
TCCCCTCCCCTGTCTCCCTCACAGAAATCAGGAAATGAGGAGGTACACTTAAGCAAAAGGCCTACTGGATAAGCCACAATCTGGATGATTCAGAGTTATTTTCAGTTTGGACCCAAACAGTTTTATAAAAATGGCAAAGAAGCTGGATACCTCTGGTGTGAATCATGAGGAAAAGGGCAGGGCCCCAGAAAAGAAATGGGATCTACATGGGCCATTCTAGGTCTCAGACCTTTGTGCTAAATTGCAAAGAATTTAAGCGTATTTGAGAGTGCTCCTAAGTGAAAGGTAAAGAAAAATAGCCCCTGCCAAAGAGAGGTAAGTAGGAACTTGGCATCCCTGTGGACAGACCTGGGTGTCTCTGCAGGAAGATGAGCTCATCTCTTCAGGCAGATTATCTGGTTCAATGGTTGGCAAACTACTATGGCTTTCAGGCCTAATCTGGCCCATTGCCTGTTTTTGTAAATAAAGTTTTATTGAAACAAAGCCATGCCCATCTGTTCACCTATTGTCTATGGTTGTTTTTGTGCTAGAATGGCAGGCTTCAGTAGTTGCAACAGAGACAATGGCTCACAAAATCTAAGATATTTGTATCTGACTCTACAGAAAAGTCTGCCAACCCCTGATCTTGTTCACTCTTTCCTGTATTGTATGCCTTGCAACACTAGTCCCCTGTCATACTTCCCCAAATGTGGTGGGAAAAATCCTCACACTAGTTGCCCCTCTTAGAAATACACAGTGCTCACCAGCCTTTAAAGCCTCCAAGAAGTCTTGCAGCCATGCATCTGCTTTCCTTTTTTTAACTCAGCAGTCCTTAAACTCACCTGACCTATCAGCATTCCACAGAGCATGGGGAGCACAGGCAGTGAAACACCAATCTTGTTGCTTATTACTGTTCTTTGAATTGATTTTCTATTGTTTTTTCTAAGCCTGTAGACAGGCCTTACTTAGATTTTCAAGTTTAGTGACAGTTTTGCTGATGATATCTGAGGGAGGGCTGTGGTTTCCCCTTAAGCCAGGGTAGGAGAGGCGAGTAGTGCTTTCCTCCTTGACGGGCGTGGTAATAACAGAAGTGGGGAGAACTGCAGCGGGCAGAGGATTTTCCCTCCAATGTCATCATACTTTCTCTCCTTACTGGATCATCTCTCTAAGCATAGAAATAGAGCATCTTTTACTTTAAGAAAATCACATTCCTATCCAGCTACCTCCCACCCATTTCTGCTGACATTTGCAATAGAACTCCTCTAAAGCACTGTCAATATACATTTCCTCCAATCTCCTTCCCATCCTCTCTTGAACCCACTCTAGTCAGGCTTTCTCCCTCACCACTCCCCCGAAATGGCTCTTGTCAAGGTCATTATGACCTCCAGATAGCTAAAACCAATAGTCAAGGCTCAGCTTCTGCTGCAGTCAAAATATCTGCAGCATTCTACACAGAAAATGACCTTCCTCTTCCAAGCATCTCTTCTCTTGGCTTCTGGGACCCCACTCTCTCAGTTCTCCTTCTACCTCCCTCTCAGCCACTGTACGGGTTCCTCTCACCTCCTTGACCTATGACTGTTGGATGCCTCAAAGCCTTCTTGGAATGATTTTTTTCTTACCTACACTTTCTCTGGTCATCTCATCCTGTCTCGTGGCTTTAATACCAAGCACCTGCTAGCAACTCCCACATTTCTTTCTTTTTTTTTTCAATCTCAGTAGACCTTCACCTGTAGTAAGTCTTATAAAAATAATTACAGCAATTTGCCAACATAATCGTGATTGCATCTCTTTTTTACAAAGGCTTTTATTTTAAGTTTAGGGGTATGTGTGCAAGTTTGTTACACAGGTAAACCACATTTCTATTGCTTTGTCTGGAATGCTCTCTCCCCAGAAATCCATGTGGCTTACTTCTTTCATGTTTCTGCTCAAATATCACATTAGTGAGGTTCTCTCTGACAACTCTCTATAAATATATGTATAAAGAACACCCGCATGCCACACCTGCCTCCCAGTGCTCCCTTGCCATGCTTTCTTTTCTTCCTACCACCTATTACCATTTGATATATTCTCTACATCTGCTTATATTTGTTAGCTGTCTGTCTTCCCTCACTAGAACATATGCTTCATGAAGGCAGGGAATATTTTGTTCTTGGCTGCAATTCCAGGGCCTACAGTCCTGCAAGACACATAGTAGACACTCAGCAAATATTTTAGGATGGATGAACAGAGGTGTGAGTTGTCTGACATAGGGTTCTAGAGTTCATCATGATTTCATAGCTGATGGATCTAAGATTGTGTCTTCTTGTCCTAAATCACATGGCTTGTTAGTGGCAGAGCTGACATCAGACACCTGGTCATTTGTTGAGTCTCTCCTAAGTTCCAGGCACTGTAATGAACCGTGTGGACATAGGCGCCATTTCTGCTGTCATGGAGATTTTCAGTGAAGACTGACTTTGAATGGACGATGCTTGCTCCTTGACCTCTAGACCAGGCTCTTTCTATCATAATGTTTCCACCGTCCTAATGACCAGTTGTGACCAAGAAGATGTTTGTCCTTAAATAGCCACCATTCCCTCCTGAGGCATAAATCTTAGACAGAGGACTTCTGCAGCAGGAAAGAAATTTACCCTTCACATTTAAGGCAACTTTCTCAGCTCTCCACAGTATGACTGTTAAGAGCTGGGTATCTTGGGTGGTTTGTGAGGTGTCCCAGTACCTACTGGCTGGTCTCTCATAATTCCATTTCCAGTTTTGTTTTGTTTTGTTTTGAGACAGAGTCTTGCTCTGTCATTCAGGCTGGGTGCAGTGGCATGATCTTGGCTCACTGCAACCTCCACCTGCTGGGTTCCAGTGATTCTTGTGCCTCAGCCTCTCAAGTAGCTGAGATGACAGGCACACACCACCATGCCTGGCTAAGTTTTGTATTTTTAGTAGAGATAGAGTTTCACCATATTGGCCAGCCTGGTCTTGAACTCCTGGCCTCAAACAATCTGCCTGCCTCGGCCTCCCAGAGTGCTGGGATTACAGGTGTGAGCCACCATGCCCAGACTATTTCCAGTTTTTAATGCCTGTGCCTTATCTGGGTGAATAGTTGTTTTTTTGTGTGTGGTTTTTTTTCTTTTGTCCACTCTCTCTGGTGCCCATTCCAAAGTGTTGCAAGCCTGCCCTTCCATGCTGAGAAGATTTCATTATGTGATAGCAAGTCGGGAGAGGCAGGGGCTCTGTGACAACTCTACCCAATCCTGGTGGCCCACAGAAGAGAAATATTAAGAGCTTTTGTTTAGAGGTCTTCTCTCACTCATCTACACATCCAAAATTAATAAAATTTTAGAATCCAGAATATTAGATTTGGATGGGATCTCAAATGGCATATTGTCTCACCATGTTGCACCAATGCAGTGATCCCTGAAACATCTGTGACATGTGAGTCACCTTCACTTGGTGCTTTTTATCAACAGAACATATTTACATTTTTTTTTTTTTTTCAGATACAGGGTCTTGCTCTGTCACCCAGGTTGAAGTGCAATAGCACAATAACAGCTCACTATAGCTTTGAACTTCTGGGCTCAAGCAATTCTCCCACCTCAGCCTCCTGAGTAGCTGGGACTACAGGCACAAGCCACCACACTTGGCTAGTTTTAATCTTTTGTAGGGATGAGATCTCACTGTGTTGCCCAGGCTGGTCTTGAACTCCTGGCCTCAAGTGACCTTCCCAATGCAGTCCCACCAAGTGCTGGGATTATGAGCATGAGCCACTGCACCTGGCCTAGATTTACTCTCATACAATTTTCCTTAGGTTGAGATAAAACCAACCTCCCTAAAGCTTCCACACATTGGCCCTGGTTTTGTCCTTGACACCTATTTTGAGTAAATCTCATCGTTCACTTAATTATCAGGTCTTCCAGTAGGCCTGTGAACCCAGAAAAGAGCATTTAGTCCATTCATGTTGGATATAAGTACCAGCATAACTTTGTTGGCTATTAAAGCAAACAGATGTTTGTAAATCTTTGTTATTTCACATGCTGCAACAGGAGTACCAAGCGACAGTTGCCATTACCAGCGTATGGATGGGGAAACCAAGGCATATGGATGGCTGATGACTTGCTGTTGGCTCAGTGGACAAATGATTCCCGGCTGCTTGTCCTTTGCTCTGACTTGGACTCCTTAATGTATTGCATACTCCAGAGAAAGCTATTATAATAATGGCTCCAAGAACATTAGAATTTCTATTATTGAGAAAGATGCACTTTCATTTAAAGGGTTTCATTCGTCTTAAATGAGTTCTACTTTCTGCTTTCCTTTCATTCGAATCCCATGTTTATTATTTCTGCTCCACGGCTGGCCTGATAAATCTGAAATTCCACTCACACCAGCCAGCAAACTCGATTCCAAGCAGCGGCAGATAGGAGAACTTGGTCTGTTGGAGACAAAGGTTTCTCTCCAGTTTGGTCAGCAAGTTGGATTTAAACTGACAAGATCATAGCTCTACAAAAATAAGATCTATTAATTGTCCTGTGAAAGGAAAAGGTCACTGGACAAATGTTACTCTGTATCTCATTTTACAGCTAGAGTCTGGGCATCCGCATCAAATCATTTCTCTGTAACTAGATTCTGCTTCTCAACAATAATTAAAAAAATGACTCCGGATAAGATCATGTCCTAGTTCTGCTTGTGAGTTTTGTCACTTGAATACATTTCACTTATGCTGAAATCAGCCTGGAGTTGCTGACACTGTACTTCCTCTAGGACCCCACTGAAAAATGTATGAGAGGTGTCTGGGATCATTAATTGATTCTCCCAGATCCCCTTTGTTGCCTACTTCTCAGACTTTGGCTCCAAAAGTAGAACAGAAGTTTCTCTAATGTGACCTAGGTCACTAACACCAAAAGAGTGTGGGAGAGGGACAGGCATGGGAATGTTGCCCATCAGACCAAATGTGATACCCCTGGGAATCAAATGTGATTTGGGGGTTCCATGCTGAAGTCACCAGGGATGGCTGGGCTGCAGGGGAACAGCCACAGACAGCATCTTGGCCAGAGTGATAGGCATTATTTGGGTGGATGGTGTGGGACAGCACAAAGGGAAAGGAGGCTACAGAGAAGAACTTTCTCTGGCTCTCCTTAAGGTAAGTGGGCAGAACCGACAGTGCATCAGCTCCTTAGGCTGGTAGGAGCATATTTTCAGACTCAGCAAACATTTACTATCTACTATGTGCCCATCAAAAAGTAAACACTTTCATAAACAGTACATATAATTCTCACTACAACCCTGTGAGATAGGTAGAGTTTTAAATCCCTGGCTTTCCGTGTGCTTGTTTGTTTGCTGTTAACAGTTACATGAAATGGTTATGTCAACCATCTGAACTCTTACCTTAAGGAAAGAGGAGGTTATATAAATAAATGATATGGCTTGGCTCTGTGTCCCCACCCAAATCTCATCTTGAAATGTAATCCCCACAGTTAGGGGGAGGGGCCTAGTGGGAGGTGATTGGATCGTGGGCATGGGCTTCCTTCCCCCTTGCTGTTCTTGTGATAGTGAGTGAACTCTCAGGAGATCTGGTTGTTTGAAGGTGTGTGGCACTTCCCCCTTCGCTCTATCTCTCTGTCTCCTGCCACAGGTGTTTGCTTCCCCTTTGTATCCACCATGATTGTAAGTTTCCTGAGGTCTGGCAGTCATGCTTCCTGTGAAGCCTGCAGAGCTGTGAGTCAAATATACCCTTTTTCTTCGTAAATTACCAGTCTCGGGTAGTTCTTTATATACAGCAGTGTGAAAACAGACTAATACAATAAATAAACAAAGAGACAGACAAACAGGTTCTTTCTCTACGGTATCAATGCCAGGAACACCTTATAGGAACAGATCCAGACAGGGTGACTCGCTCACCAGCTCAGGGCCTGGAAGTGGCCGACTTGGGACTTGACACCAGGGTGTGCAACAGAACCCAGGCTTCCTCCCTTCCCCCTCCCACTGCCTTCAATGTTAATGGCCTGTTCAATGCCTTTGTGCTTCTGAGACAGATACCTTTGCAGTTGCCATCTCAGTAGTGTGCTAATAGCATCTCTGATTTTGAAAATGAAAAAGTTTAAAAAATTAAGCCTTTCTAAATATAATTTGCACGTCTTCCCCTCCTGTGCTTTTAGCTGTGTGTGTTGTTTTTAAAGTCTTTATCTGGGTGATTATTAAAGTCCCTGGTAGGTTGCATTTTACTCTGCTTCCTTGGTTTCAATCATCCCTGGAGTTATTTCTACGTTTCAGGGTTCCATGCTGAAGATAAATGTAGAAATTCTACTTCAAACATGGACAATTTCTCTCTGTTTCCAAAGTGATCATGAGGTCAACTAATGCTCAGCTAAGGAGGAACCGTCCTACCCAGAAGAGAGTTCTCCCTTGAGGTCATTCACTTTCCAATCAATGCTCCCGAATTCCCCCAAAACTTACTGAAACTTCTCTCTCTTTTCACCTGGCCCCTAGCCCTGAACGATCGCCCTCCTGTTGAGGAGTCTGTGATGGCAACATCTCCAGGTAGTTTAGCTCATGAAGGGGGTGCTGGGAGTGGGGATGGGAAAATGGGAGCTTCAGGATGTTTATTAAGTGCTGGACTGTTAATGTCAGTGAAGAGGTGACAGAAAGAGGCAGCTGTGCCCATCCTGCAGGGAGTCAGTGATGCTGTCTTCCCTCCTGTCTTGCTGTAGTACCTTCGGAATTTTAGAGTTCCAGACTACATAACACCTTCAGAACAATTCCAGAACAGTTTGGGAAGAAAGGAATCAAAACAAAAAATAAAGTAGGAACCATGACCTCCTCTCACTCCAGGCATACACACACCACGGGGGGTCTGAGTACAAAAGCAAAGGCACAATATCAAACATGAGTTTTGTCAGAGAGGAAAAATGTTGAGAACAAATTCATGAATTCTAGTCCTATTTACATTTCAATCCCCAAACTAATTGTTTACTCATAAGTGTTCTGTCATGATTGTGGTCATTGGTAGCTTTCTGTAAATAAACCTAAAAAACTTTATTATCCCAAATTATTTTTCGAATGCCTGAGCCACAAAGAAGCCGAGAGCTAAATTTAGTGCTCAACTGCAATAATCAATTTATCCCAGATGACTGGCATTTCTCATTCTCTTCTCCTTTTAATTAGTCTTGGCTTTCCTTCCATTTTTAATTGTCCAGGTTTATTTGAGATTTAACATAATAAACTACCTCAATCCCTTTTGCATTTCTCTTCGGGAAATTAAATTAGCTAACATTTTCAGATGTTGACTCTTCCTTCCAAGGCATAAGCCCTTCCTTTAAAAAATCAGCTTTGGAAACACAAGTATCAATAGAAACACAGTTCAATGGCTTGGGCACTGTTCTTCCTTGTTGCGGACCTCAGCTGACATGCAGTCTTTAGCCAGGGCGTATGTCACACAGGTACACAAGCACTTCACACATCTATATCTCTTTCATGAAGAAAGTGAAACCTTGTTCTCCATGGAATGGAAATCTTAAACACTAGGTAGAGCACTGATGAGTTCAGTGTTTCTTCACAATAAATACACAGCATTTTATACCATAAAACGAATTTGTACTGTCTGAACAAAATGGCTTTACATACTGCCAGATGTGATTATCAAGATTGATTTTCTCCTGCCCTGTGGTAACCAGGTTACTTAGCTTTGCAGATTCAGCTGGTCTTGCTTTTCCCTCTGGCTAAGTAGAGACAGATCCACTCCCAGCAAGTCAGGAAAAAGGGGGGGTTCTACAGCTCAGGGACTAATGGGCAATGAAACAGGAGCCAGTGTTTCCTACCCAAGCCATCGTCTCTCATCCTGCTTCCAATCAGCACTGATCCTGTCCAGACAGCCTTGTGTGACAGGAGACTCACCGGGGGCATCAGGACTCAGAGAAAGTGAGGAGGAGCTGGGGCAGAGTTCACCTCCCCCTACCGTTCCCCAGGCTCCTTTCCCTAGACCATGGCCCTGCTTCTCTCGGGTCCTCGGATGCCTGCTGACGAGGGCTGCCTGCCTCCCGAACCCTTAGTATCAACTCCTACAGCTAGTTCCAGTGGCGCTGGCATCAGTGGGACCTGGCTTCCAATCCCAGCTCTGCCACTTGCCAGCTCTGGATCATGTCGCCTCTCGAAAGTCCAGTTTGCTCAACAGGTAGAATAATCCTCACATCACTACTGAAAGTTTCACCTATTTCCAGTGCCTAGAACCATGGTAGGCCCTGTGAAAGGCTCTGCGGTTAGTTCCTTTCACTCTACTTTCCAGCCCCTGCCCTCCCAGGCTTGCTGAGCCTAGCTCCTTGCTCTAAGATTCCCCTCTCTGTAGACTGACAGCATGTTCCATCCACTCCAAATGATCTGGAGACCGACAAGAATTCTGTCTGTGACCAAACATTAATCAGGCTCATCTGAGCCCCACTAAGCCCCATGCTTGGGCAGGGCCTCCACGAGCCCAATTTCAGCAAGAATCCTGTCACGTCAATTTAGCCAGAATCCCCTACTCTTCATATCTGATTGAATTTCCCATCCTTCACCATCCCCCAGGTCATGTCTGATTACCCTGGCCTGCATGGCTCCTGTTGGGTCAGTTTGGCCAGAATCCCCCCATCCCTGATGTTTCTTCTTAGTAATTTTCTATACACAGACAACTTCCCCCTCCCCTGGTTTTTGGCTATCAATTCCCACTTTTTCTTGTTGGATTCTGAGTTGAGCACATTCTCCAGCCCGTATGGTGAAACCTCTGTTGCAGTCATCCGGAATAAACTCTGCCTTACAGTTCTTTAACAAGTATCATGGATAATTTTTTTAAGTTTTATTTATTCATTTTTTAAGAGACAGAGTCTTGCTATGTTGCCCAGGCTGGTCTTGAACTCCTGAACTCAAGCAATCCACCTGCCCCAACCTCCCGAAGTACTGGGCCTGCAGGCTTGAGCCACCGCACCCAGCCAATGCTTTTCTTTAACAAGACCTGGAGTATCTATGCTCTTGCTTGTGACTTTAAGGATGCTGTTCCCTCTTCTCCTCCTTCCTACTTGGTTACATGATATTTACTCTTCCAGATATCATGCCACCTCCTTTGTGAAATTTTCACTGGACAGCCCCCGCACCCCTGACTCTTGTCCTAGGGTAAAGCTAACCCCTCTTTCTTCTGTTCTTCTAGTGCAAAGCTCTGGCACCAGACTGTCTGGAGTCACATTCCAGCTCCACCTTTCTCTAATTGTTTACTTTGGGCAAATGGTTTAACCTGTCTGTGCTGTGGTTCCCTTGTTAAAAAATGAGGATAGCAATAATGCCTAGCTCATTGGCTTATAGCACTAACGCATTTATTCTGTTAAGTGCTTCGAGATAGTGTCGAACTCATAGTAAGTGCTTCAATACATTTAGCGTTATTATCAGAGCTCTTCTTATAGTTTATAGTTACTGTTGTTATCAATACTATTTGCCCTGTGCCCACTACTGACCCCACAATCCTTGACTGGGAGGATCCTTCATAGCAGGGATTGGGTCTTATTCATCTTTGCACTTTTCTTCTAATCTCACGTCACCATGGCACACAGTAGGTACTCAGCACTTTTGCTGATATCAGTAGGTCTAATGAAGGATTCTCTGCAGTTTTAATGTGCCCTCCAAGGCAGTTTATTTTAATAGGAGGCTTCAAATAGTGCTTGAGCTGCAAGGAATACCTTTTGCACTTCACCCCAGGAAGTCAAATTAGCTAATATTGAGGAGGATGAGGTAGACACCTCGGAACCCTCAGGCCTTTCAGTAGCTCTGAATCTCATTTAGTGTTTGGCTGCATCTCCTCTGCAGAGGCCAGGGCCTGGGCCCCTCCCACCTAAATGATTTCTACTCAAAGCCATTTTATTAAGTCAGGGATGGGGAGACCCAGACCCTGCTCTGGTGAGGCCGACATCTCTACAGCGGACCTCACGGAGTCACAGCCAGGCATATTATGTCACGAGACAGAGTATGGCCACAGCTCTCTGGGCATTAGAAAGGACACAGGAGAGGGAGCTCCTGCTTGGAACCCCCAGGAGCTTTCGGGAAAGAGGTGGCCTGTGAGTTGGGATTTGAAGATAGTCAGGGTTTCTACTGGCAGGATTAAGGGAAGGACAGCCTGGAAAGATGGGGAGGGATTATCAGCAGTGAATAAAGAGAGGGGAGGAAAAGGGCAGAGCCACCAGACGTGTTTGCTAAAACAAACCCTCAAATTCCCTATCTAGGAATTAAATGTAGGCTCAGGTTTTGAACTTGCTTAGAGCTCACAGTGGCAAGAGGAAGGAAGATTTACAATTTGAGAATCAAGGCGTCTGAAGAATTTGTAATCTGAGAGACCAAAACAGACGCCCCCTGATGAACTAAGACAGACACAAAGGTTAAGGGGAAAAGATTATCTATTGGCGAGGGCTCTGGACTCAGTGAGCATGGCAACCTCTGAAATTCTTACAGTTAAGAGAAAAATCACACCCTTCCTAAACTTTCTAACAGTAGGAGCCATCAGGCAAAATATCAGACTCCTCCTAACTCTGTCTTACAACCCAGACCACTACAACTCTGAATAGACAGAGGACTGGCCTTATAAACACTCTTTCCTGATAAGCATCTGTAGCCCTTAAGCCAGTTCCAGCAGCTCATAGAAACTGTAGGCAAACTGTGCCCTGTCATTCACCTTTTGCCCTAAAGAGCCAAATTCTACCTCATTTTAATGCTAAAGCCCTGCCCCAAAGTGAACATGGGATGTTTGTTACCTATGTGTTGGTCCATTGTGCATGTGCTTGACCCACCTCATAAATTTGTATGGCCTTCCTCCACACCTGGTGAATATGTACAGTGATATTCACCTGGTGAATATCTACTATGTGACACAGACCTTCTGAGGCATAAAACACAGCCCACCCTTCCCCTCTTTGAAAAGAAAGCACCTTAGGTCCATGCTGGAAACTGTCTCTTCTTGGTTTGCAAACTGATATCATCAATAAAGCTCTCCTTTCTACTATTTAGCCATCCTGATGGTCTTTTAGATGTCAAAGCTATGAGGAAATTACACCACACAGCCCCCCACTTCTTGTCTGTGTTGACCATTCTGGACACAGAAGCCTCTGCTCTTTTACAAACATCTCTGAAGGAAGGAGAGCTCCTCACAAAGCATCAGGAATCATTTAGTGGTGGGAAAGCTTTGTGCATGACGATCAGAGGACCCTGAAATCAAATCCACATCTCCCATCTGATCATCTGTAGGCCCTCGACAAGGGGCAAACCTTAGTTTCCTCTTCTATCACATTGAAATAAGCCTTCCTACTTCAGGGGATGGTGTGATAACTGCATTTCAGAGCATATAGTCCAGTGACTAGCACCTAGTGAGCACCCAGTGCTGACAAAGACTGTCTCAGGCTCCTCTGAGCCTTCCTCCTGACTTTGGCCCCTGTCCTGTCAGCTCAGTTTTAGTAACAATCCTGCTAAGCCAGTTTAGCAAGAAACCCCCCTTCCCTTGACCCACTCATCTGCTTCATAGCTATGAAACCCCACTTGTCCTTGCTGTATCGGGAGCACTATCTTCCCTACTATCTCCCCTACTGCAGTGGCCCCATTGTAACAGTCTTGAATGAAGTCTTCCTCGCCATTCTAACAAGTGTCAGAATAACTTCTCTAACAGTATGTGCATGTGACTATTGCCATCATCTTTCCTCTCTCCCAGGGATCAACAGACAGTGAAATTTTCTACCTAGTTCCTGGTTGGGAAGGCAGCACACCCATAGTCCTGTGATGACTCTTCTAGCACCACCGTTGGGCTGGGAGACCTGCCCTTGCACGATGACTCCAGGCAGGTACTTTGGGTTCTGCCTAGCACAGGGTCTGCCTGGCACATCCCTCCGTAGCTTTCCTTAGGATCAATGTGTTGAGCTGCCAAGGAGGGGTCAAGCCAGACCTTTAGAAGCTGCTCTTAGGTGCTGACCAACATTCACTCCAGTTCCAAGCAATCAAACCAGCCTTTTGTCAGGGAGAGGCCTCATCTTAGGAAACCAATGTTTCTGATCAAAGGTCAACCTCCAAATCCAATCCAGATGCAATTATAGTTGTGATTTAAGTACCAGAGTTGAGGTTCAAAGTCCAACTTTTTTTCCTGAAACAACTGACCTCTGCTTTGTGGCAAAAATGGTTGAGTGTCAGATGACTATAATACAATTTTAATTTAAGATCTAAAACTCGGTGCTACCTTCAAGTTGTCATCAGTTTGTCATTTTTTTTTTTTTGTTGACAAATTAAGGTGAGTGGGCAGGAGTGCTGTCATCTTCTTTCACCTCCATTTCAATGTCACTCTGTCCCTGAACCTACTTGCCCTTATACTGGTGGGGAGAGGGTCCCCTCCCTGTGCTCCCAACATGTCCACACCCCCATTTTTAGGATTCTAAGCCACTGTCCCTGACTCTGATTCTCTCCTCCCTAACCCCTGGTGCAAAGCTGCCCACGCTACAGACTAGGTGGCTACTACCCGTGATATGCAAAACCAATAAAAAATAAAAACACTTGGCCAGGTGCGGTGGCTCATGCCTGTAATCCTAGCACTTTGGGAGGCCAAGGCAGGTGGATTACCAGGTCAGGAGTTCAAGACCAGCCTGGCCAATATGCTGAAACCCCATCTCTACTAAAAATACAAAAATTAGCTGGGGGTGGTGGCGCACGCCTGTAATCCCAGCTACTTGGGAGGCTGAGGCAAAAGAATCCCTTGAACCTGGGAGGCGGAGGTTGCAGTGAGCTGAGATTGCGCCACTGCACTACAGCCTGGGCGACAAAGCGAGACTGCGTCTCAAAAAATAAATAAAAAATAAATAAAAAAAAAAAACACTTGAAAAATAGTTGTGTATTTATTTAATTAAATAAGTATTAAGAAAATGATTATATAACACAAGAAACCCATAATTTTGTGGATGTTATTGCTTTAGATGAGGTTAAATATTTAAGTTTAGCTAGCTGACTTGCAATAGTACCAAGTAACTGATCACAAGGGTGATCTGTGACATTGGAAACAATGGGTGGAAGTTGGGATGATCTTTGCACAGTGGAGAGCCCTGGACTGGCAAGCAAGAGTCTTTGCTCTATTTCTCACTTCCAGTATGGCCTTGAGATGTGCCTTAACCTCTCTAGGCCTCCTTGGGTATCATTGGTGCTTTCACGGAGCTGGCTCCTTTCCTGATTTCCAAATGTACTCAAGTTTCTCCAGTGTGGAAAATAAACCACCAATACCTGTTCTTTGAGCGTGTGAGCCCTCAGATCGAGCTCTCCTCTCCCTTCTCCCCTTTTCTGTGGGTGCCAGAGCTGAGGGTGTTGCCTTCCTTCTCTCTGCTCTCCCTGACAACACCATTGAAAGGGCCTCTTCAGTGTCACTGACGACTTCCCAAATAGCAAGCAGCACTGCCGGCCCTCAGCTTCTGGAACACCCTGACTTACACGGGCTTTGTGGACAGGACTGAGAACTTAGCCCCGATGGATCGTATGCTGTGTCCCAGGAAAATGGATTCTGTGTATCCAATGCCTCCTTGACAAAGAGACCCTCAGAAGCTATCTCCACCCATTTATATTTAAAACCCCTCCTGGGTTGTCAAACAATACATGACAAGGGTCCCTGGTCTGCTGCCCGCACTCAGCCCTGCTGCTGCCTTCTGACAATGGGAAGGATGGAGCGGTGCCAGGAGGCAGCCCCTGGGGCACTGGGATGTCATTATGGGCTGCATCAGGTGCCCATACCCACAGTGAGGGGCATCGAGCTAGGGCTGCCCAACTCTAGCAGCCCCGAGGGATGCCTAGGGAGAGTGAAGAAAAGCAGCTCAGGTTTCTGGGTTCATTACTTGGCTCTCCAGTAGACGTTCCAGCCTTGGACCAATGACCCCTTTCGTAATGCCTCAATCTCTTAATCTGCTAAGTGGCAATAATTAGTATTAAAAGTAGGAAAAACTTTGTATGAGTTTGTTAGGGCTACTGTAAGGAAATCCCATTCACTGGGTGGGCTTAAACAACACAACGGTGTTGCCTGGCAGTTCTGGATGCTGGAAGTCCAAAATCAAGGTGGTGGTTCCTTCAGAGGGCTGTGAGGGAAGGATCCATTCCAGGCCCTTCTCCCTGGTTTACAGATGGCTTCCCTCACGTTCACACGGTGTTCTTTCTGTGTGTGCCTGTGTCCAAATTTCCACCTCTTATAAGGATCTACCTTCCTCCAGTAGGACCACATCTTAACTAATTTCATTGGCAACAACCCTATTTTCAAATAAGAGCATATTATGAGGTACTGGGGGTGAGGACCTCAACATATACTTTTCTCTTTTTTTTTGCGGGGTGGGGGGGTGGTGGGTGGGCACAATTTAACCTATAACGGAGCTGAAGATGCGAACACGGAGTCGGGGCCCTGGATTCTAGACCCGGCTCTGCCATTCAGCAGCTGCATGGCACTACGTAAATCAGCCCTGTACTCCAGGCGGCAGACTTCTCTTCACCTCCTCAGTTTGAGGGTAGGACCCCTTCCAGCTCTAATAGCCAATGGCTTCACATCTAACTTAAACCGTTCTAAATGTTAGCAGAGTATTTAAAACTTCTTACATGGGCGATACAGTATAAACACTAAGAAATAATAACCCCGCGCCTCGGGAGAAAGAACGCATACAAATTCAAAGTGGTTTTCAAACATAATTTCATTAATCTTTACAAATCCCCTGTGAAGTAGTATTATTAAAGAGCAAACTGACAATTGTGCTATCATCTGGTCAAGTAAAAGAACAACATCTCAGACAAGATAATAGCAGACTTATCTGCCTCCAGGGAGAGTTGAATATGCAAAGGGTGAGTGAGTTGGAAACAAATAGGAAATTTCATCTCAGGTGGCTTTGAAATAGGGGTTGGAAATGAGGCTTTGGCTGCCATCCTGGGACTTTCCAAAGGAGGGGGAGAGATTCACAGGCAGACTTTCCAGAATACATGCATCATTCATGGCCTCTAATTTTTCATGCATAAATGTTTGAGCTGATATTTAAGATCTAGGAAATCTGCTGAGAAGGAATTACAATGTTTTTCTGAGGTGAGAAAAAAAAAACAACACTGTCTTAGATGAATTGTTCATCGCTTTTTTTGTTGTTGTGGTTTTGCTATTGCAAAGGTAGAAAAGATATCTGTTTTCTTCCTTTCTAAATCAGGGCTAGAAAAGTAGGCAACCTTGAAATGATGGAATTGTGGCCACTTCACTGAAGCCCTCATCCTCCCAGCCTCTGGCCATTGTCCTGAGTCTGACCAGCTTTTAGGAAAAGCTGATGGTCAGGCACAGTTTATCCCAGGACACTGATTTCACACTCCATGTAGAAGGCAAGATGAAGGAGGCAATCCTAGGGCTGAAGCTGACCCTGGACAGTGGGACAAAAGGTGACATTCAGATCTGGGATTGCACAAAGACGTCTCATCATGTGGGACCCTGGAAGGGGCCAAGAAGGCACTGTTGCCCAACTTGATCTTAAATAGCTTCTTTACTTGCTGGCCTTCTGATCTGAAATTCCACTACTGGAGACTCTTTGGGTTGAAAGAATATCTATCCTCCAGGTGACCCCCTCAAGAATTCAATTGCTTCTGGAGAGGTGAGGGCTGGACCTCTTAACCAATCGCCAGCATCATTGTGCGAATGAGTTTGTCTCAACCATCCTTTTCCAGGGTGTTGAGAGGTTATTTAGAGAGGGACTGGGAAGGGCAGGGCAGGTCTCCAAGCCTCTGGTGGGAATAAGAAGAAGCAGAAAAACAAAAAAGGGATGAGGTGGGGTGGGTGGGAGACTTTGAAGACCATCTTTGCCCACCTCACTATGCTGCCAGATGAGCCACAGTACAGGCTAACCTCATTTAGTGAAGCACCAATGCTGCTAGTTTACAGGTTAGCTTGGTTTAGTGAACACCCATACCGCTAAATTAATTTAACAGTTAATACTGTGAGCCAGTTGGTAAATCTGATCGTATATCATCAGAAATTCTCTTGCAGGGTTCTTCTGAGGCTGCTTTTATTATTAAAACTTACCAATCAACCAACCAACAAATAAAAAGCAGTGTATTAGCCTGTTTTCACGCTGCTAATAAAGACATATCCGAGACTGGGAAGAAAAAGAGGTTTAATTGGACTTACAGTTCCACATGGCTCGTGAGGCCTCAGAATCATAATGGGAGGCAAAAGGCACTTCTTACATGGCAGCGGCAAGAGAAAATAAGAAAGAAGCAAAAGTGGAAAGCCCTAAATCCATCAGATCTCCTGAGACTTATTCACTATCACGAGAATAGCACGGGAAAGACCAGTCCCCATGATTCACTTACCTCCCTCTGGGTCCCTCCCACAACATATGGGAATTCTGGGAGATACAATTTAAGTTGAGATTTGGGTGGGGACACAGCAAAACCATATTAAGCAGCTTTGAAAAATCATAACTTTACACAGAACCCAGCTTCTCTGTATGACCTGGTGCCAGCTGCATCTCTCAATCCTCCTTCCAACACACCAATACCCAGTTCCTTGAAGTTCCACAGTTGGGCCAGCCCCCTCACCCCTCCTCTGCACATGCTCTTCCCTTTGTATGGAACAACCCTCCATCCCTTTTCTACCTGGTTAACTACCATTCTTCATTCAATACTAAACTCAAGTCTGCCCCTTCCAGGAAGCCTTCCTGACTTCCCAAAGTAGGTGAGGGTCCCCTGCACCTCACTGCTCTAATCACACTGATTAGAATTGTTCATTTGGTTTCCAGTTTCTTCCTCTAGAACGTGGCAGAACCAATGACCTCCATCTTGGCAACCCCAATGTGAGACGCGGTCCCTGGCACCTAGGAGGTTCCTAACAATGTTTATTGTGAATGAACAATTTTTTAACCATTAAATTTGCTGATTAAAAAGCAACAGAACTCAGTTGAAGCACACATCTACTTTGTGGTGGAAATATAAATTGATTCAAGGTTCTTGGAAAGCCATTGGCAAGGTGTATCATGGGCAATGTTATCAACTTTGACCCTGGCACTCCACTTCTGGGAATCTAGCCTAAGGAAATAATGTAAACTATGAAAAAATGATCTTCATGATGGTATTTATAGCAGTGTTACTTAAAATAGAAATGCCTAGAAATAACATAAATGTCCAATAATAGAGAAACAGTTAAATTATAATCTGATAAAATGTTTTGCAACCGTGAAAAATCACCACTAGAAGAAACTGTGTCAAATGTGGAAAAGAATTATGATAAAACATTAAATGAAAATGACATAAAACACATGGACAGGATGATAATGATTATGTGAAATAAAATGATAGCTCACTTTAATACTTTACATGAACTCTTAATTCTTACAACAATCCTATGTGGTAGGTACTATTCACATCTCCATTTTCTAGATGATGGGGGTAGAAGCACAGAGAGAGTAAGTGACTTTCCCTAAACTGCACAGCTGGTAAGTAATAGAGTCTGAATTTAAACCCAAGACAGCCTGTGTCTAGACACTGTGTTCTTAACTGTAATGATATAAAATTCATCTAGAGTTTAGAAGAAAAACAACCAAATGCTATCGCTTTTTTAAGGTTGTGAAAAGAAAAGGAATTTCTTAGTCTATATTTCAACATTTCTATAATGGGCTTATACTACCTTTATAACAGAACAATATTTGAAATAAAAATTTTAGAAATTTTATAATATAGAAGTCTTTCTTCAAACGTCTATTTGTAAAGCATGTTTACAACAGTTGGTGGCTTAAATATTCCAGAATTGTCTTGAATGAAAATGTTTAAATACTAAGTTACCTGATGCATACACAGACACATGAAGCTGAAACTGTATTTCTGCTCATGTATTTATTTCCTTTGTAATGTGTAACATATGGGATTTGATATTTATACCCTAGCAAGACTCTTCGTAGAAAGGTATCAATTCACTAGTTGAGGAAAAAAATCATTGTCAGACTATGTGTTGATGCCTTTCCTTTGCTCAAACACCAGTCCTGCTCTCGCTGGTGGTAGAAACCCCAAACCAAGTCCTGGGAGACCTTTTGGGTGGAGATGTGTGAGGGAGGCCAGTGTTGCACCTATTTCTGGGGCACAAGGAAAGGGACCTTTAAGTTTTTACCAAGTTAATCTGATTTAGGTCTTTTATAAAAGCAAAACTGACCGTCCAGGATTCCCTGAGCTCTCACACAGAGTATTTCTGTTACAAAGGGAGGTTTCATGTCTGTATATGAGTGAGAAACCCTCTATGGGAAATGAGAGGACACAGCTGGGGAAGGCTCCTCCTACACCTCCGTGTTCAGGTTTGCAGAGGAGCGGGTGGAGCTTGGTTTGGAGGAGCTGTTCCAATGGAGCAAGGTAAGGAAGAACTGCAGGGAAGCCACCACTGTTGCCTAAAACTTAAGACTCACCGAGGCCTGCTGGAGCAGGGGATGGGGGGAGGGAGAGCATCAGGAAGAATAGCTAATGGATGCTGGGCTTAATACTGGGTGATGGGATGATCCGTGCAGCAAACCACCATGGCACACATTTACCTATGTAATAAACCTGCACGTACTGCGCATGCTCCCCTGAACTTAAAATAAAAGTTAAAGTGAAAACAAAAACAAACACATAAAAGTAGGACTCATTCCCTCTGCAATTCCCAAATCCCACGCCAAGGCACTACAAATAAGAGTGTTCCTCTAACTAATACTTACAGGAGGGTGTTCACTGTGGGCAGAGCCTGGTGCTGGGTGAGAATGGGGTTTGCCTCAGCTCTGGAAACCTACACACTAGGTGGGGAGATAAGACTGACAGCTAGGGAAAAGGTAATTGATAATCTCAAACTATGCATGTGGTTCACATTTGCCCACATGAGTGGTATGGACGTGAGTGTGTCAGGTTAGTGTGGGGAGGCAGTCAGAGGGGCACTGTGTCCACACTGGTGGCCGTGGAATGTGTGTGGGATTCAAGGAAGAGCATCTGTAGCTATCCATTATGTTCTAGGTGCTGTGCTAAGCAATTTCACTATGTTGTTATTTCATCCTCACCAACAATCCTATATTTATTTTATTGATCTTACAAATGAGAAAATTAATAAGTAAAGATTACATAGCTAAGGAAGAGACTGCAGTTCAACTTCCAAATTAATTCTGTTTGACTTCAAGACCCATAAGTAGAAGAAAGGAGGAGTGCACACATGCATAGTATTTATGTATATGTGCGCATTTTCCCAAAAGCTTTCCGATAGATTTAAATCAAATGTTACCATTTGCAAAGTTCTTCTTCCCCAGAAGTTTAACTGGATTCTTTCAATAGCCCTGCAAAGTAACAATTACAACTACCTAAATTTCACAAATCAGAAAACTGATAACTAGAATATGACAGAGAACCAAGCAGTAAGTAGTGTAGACATGTGTCCCTTAATGAAGGGGTTGCGTCGGGAGAAATCTGTTGTTAGGCATTTTCATCACTGTGTCAGCATCATACAATGTTCTTATACAAGCCTAGGCGATATGGCCTTCTATACGCCAGGTGTTTGGCTGCAAATACGTGAATCCACTTTTTCCAGCTGTTAATCCCATGCTTGCTGCCCTCACTTACTTATCCAGCTAACCTCTGCCTGCTGCTGGAGGGCCAGGCTCTGGAGATACTGAGAGGAAGTTGACATCACTTGCCTGATGGAGCAGAGGCACCTGAGCTTTGCATGTCATCACCAAGAGGGTGGTGGGTGCCAAGGCAGACATCCACTGAGGTCTTTATGCTTCACCTGGGGAGCCAAGATTGGAAAGGGCTTTGAAGATTCCTAAAGCTGAATCTTAAAACATAGGTTTACCAAGAGAGCAAGATAGATGATGGTATTTTCAGCTCAGGAAACAACCCATGCAAAGGCAAAGAACTGAGAAGCCACACAGGGCTCTAAGAACTACTGATGGTGTGTGTGTGCTATGGACTGAAGGGCTGTGTCCCTCAAATTCAAAGACTGAAGCCCTATACCCTATGTGATGGTATTTGGAGGTGGGACCCTTGGGAGGTAATTAGATTGAGATGTGGTCATGAGAGTAGGGACTTTGATATGACTTGGCTGTGTCCCCACCCAAATGTCATCTTGCATTGTAATAATCCCCACATGTCAAGGGTGGGGCCAGGTGGAGATAATTGAATCATAAGGGTGGTTTCCCCCATATTGTTCTCGTGGTAGTGAATAAGTCTCAAGAGATCTGATGGTTTTATAAACAGGAGCTCCCCTGCACAAGCTCTCTTGCCTGCTGCCATGTAAGACATCCCTTTGCTCCCCTTTGCTCTTCCATCATCTTCTGCCATGATTGTGAGGCTTCCCCAGCCATGTGGAACTGTGAGTCCATTAAACCTCTTTCCTTTATAAATTACCCAGTCTTGGGTATGTTTTTATTAGCAGCATGAGAATAGACTAAAACAGTCTCCATGATGGGATTTGCGTCCTGTAATAAGAGGAAGTGATCAGAACTGGCACTCTCCCCTCCCCATGTGAGGACACAGTGACAAGGTGGCCATATGCAAGCCAGGAAGAGAGCCCTCACCAGGAACCAAATCTGCCAGCACCTTGATCTTGGAGTTCCCAGCTTCTAGAACTGTGAGAAATAAATGTCTGTTGTTAGGCTACCAACCTATGGTATTTTGTCATAGCAGCCTGAGCAGACTGAGACAGTATGCTTTCTCCACTCTAGCTAGATGCAGGCCTCTACCTCTGCAGAGATAGTGCCTGGGGCTCCAGAGGCCTGCAGTGAAAAGAGAGCCCCTCTTGTTCCTTCCCCAGCTGCCAAACATCCCTAAAGCCGGGGCTCCTCCAAACCACCTGAAATCTGCCCACTAGTTATTAGACTTGCTTCTAGGAGCCTGGTTGCAGTTTCCAAAAGAGAAAGATGCCAGTGTTAGGTAATCATGCCCATCATCCCCTAATGCCAGGCACTGCCCTGGCTCTGAAGCCAGGGCTGACGGATGCAAAGAGGCTCTGCTGGGCAAGACACTCTCCGGAAGGCAGACAGCCGCATTTTCTAGACCACCACGGTTCTGTTTTGTAAAAGATTTCTCTCTTGTCCAATTAAAACAGAAAATTCTCTTCTGTTCTCCAGCCCCAGCTGCCCTCTACACAGTACCCAGAGAGGACAACACAATCATTCCATGCATTCAAAAAGCAGGGCTTTTTGCAAGGAAGAGTATTTGCCTGCTCACCACTCCCTCTCCCCAACATAAGGCTCACTGTTGATGCCGCAAATTTCTGCATTAGATGGCTGGTAGCCCATTTCCACTCCCTAATTTCGCATATGAAGATGATTACTGTGTTTATGTTGTGTGAACAGCAGTGGGCCAGGGAATTGAGAAGCATTTGATCCATCCAACTTAAGTCTTATTTCTCACACACGTGTCTCTGGCTGCCTGGCTGCCTAACTGCTGAGACCCCGGCAGGAGACAGGAATGAGGAGGCGTGAGTCATGTCTTGTTTGTTACAACAGGAAGATGTCCCAGGACCTTCTTGAAGGGGAGATGGGGGTGGGAGGATGAATACTTCAAGTTCTATGAATCAAATATGAATTGAACTGTAATCTGGGCTTTAAGTAGATGCCTGCATAATAAGTGTTAAACAATTCATCTTTCTGTCAGGCTGCAGAAAGTAATTTATTCATTACCATTTAAGCAAGAAGAGATCTTGTGTGTTTAAAGAGAGAAAAGTTTAGCGTGCTCCATTCTCAATGGCACTGCAAAGGGCCCAAACTGAAAGAAAATGCTGAAAGGGGAAAGGAATGAAGGAAGCTTCGGAGCATCAAACCTTGATTTGGCTTGGGAAATAACATTAATTCTCTTTCAGCATCCAGTTGAGAAATCAAACAGGCTTAATTTAAGGAGTCTTCAGATGAAGAATTGGTAAATTCAGTAAAGACTGATCTTACTTTATGCATCACAAGCCATCCCCAGCTATGTGTAAAGTTAAAAAGTATGCATTAAGCTATAATCTTTTCCCTTTGACTTTCATTATGATTTCAGATATGTTTGCTTAAAACCCTGAAATACAATAAAAGCACCATTTAGGCCTTTTATGATTCACTGCAAGCATTTTACATTTGTCAACATGCAATCTATGAGCCTTACATCCTCCCACAAAACCACAAGTAAAATTTACAAATTTTCTATATAATCTTAACACATTCAGGATGAATCACATGTGCTCTCTATTAAAACACGCTATATAGCTAATTTTCACTCTACTGCATTTTTTTCTTAACTCCATGGGACTTAAGTGTATAAGCAGCCATAGTAACCAGGAGAATGCTTCAGGGTTGCAGCCAAACTTACGAGCTGGAGGGACCATATGGAGGAGTTTTCTTGGACAGAATTCAGTTGTACCACTTCACAAGTATTATACTCTACTCATTTGTTATTGCATAGCAAACACTCTGTTGTGTTATAAAGAGATGGTGTACAGTTCTATTTTAAAACTTAGCAGAATTCTCTTTAAAATGCTTGAGTCAGAAAATATGTCTGGCTACCTTAACAATTAAAACCAAATCTCTGGCAGAGATGAGATTGCAAAAACTGTTTGCTAAACTAGTTCATGTGTGATCTCAAGCAATTCAATGCAAATGACTTTTAAACTAAGCAGTAAATGAGAAACTATTCAAAGATAGACAACTCTGTAAGAAAAAAAGGAGAGAGCATAATAAAACATTCACATACAGATTTAGCATGTTCAAGACTCAGTGCTCTCGCCACAGAAAATGGAGCACACTCAAAACTGAGAATGACCCCATATATAGGAGCCAGTCATTCTTTCTAAAGTAGAGAAGATGCAGGGAACCAAATTAAAAATGAAACCTAAGACTGCCATGGGAGTGTTGGCAGGCAAAGCTATCTGCTTTCTATGATAAGTTGCAAGTGCTTATTTGAAGAGGAAACATGGCGCTCTGCCTAGTTCTGCATACACAAAGGCAATGGGGTCATATCTAGACCTGAACACCGTTGGAGACTCGCTTTCCTCACACATGTAAGCACATCTGAGTTTTAAGAATCCCACACTCAAACCCAACTGACAGGACCATTGCCTATTAACCAGGATGAAAACAATTTGTCATAATAAATATTTAAACCTTTATTGTATTTTTACAAACTAACTCTGTATATAAATGCTAGAAAACTTGAGACCCTCAGGAAAGAATGGCATAAATGGAAAACTGTTTTCTAACTACAGGTTTCTTCAAGCAGAGGAATATGACAATGAACAGACATACAATGGCCCACAACAGGAGTTTTACTTGTTTGAATCTTTCTTGAGATGGAATATAGAACTTTCCTACATACTGGTCAGAGTTTTCCTCTAGGATTTTTGAAGCTAAAGTTTAGAGGAAAATCTTGAATAATCTTAAATTGCTCTCATAATTCTTTCTGTTACACCTAGCACAGATTCTAAGAAATCATAATCCAAGGCATTTTCTGTCCACTTATTAAGCACTGTCTTTCAACCACAACAATGTTAATACCATCTAACATTACTGAGTAATGTTACTCAGTAATGAGTTGCCAGGCACACTGCAATAAGCCCTTTATATACATGATCTTGGCTAATCCTGACAGCAACCCTCTGAGGTACAGACAGTTATTAGTCTCATTTTACAGGTCAAAGCAGTAAGTCACACTGAGGCAGGTGATAGATCTTTGAGGATTTGAATGCAGGTTGGCCTGACTTCACATTCACAGTTTTAACCATGAAGCCAATTGGAAGTAATACATTCCTAGATCTATAAAATGATGAACATATTCTTGAGGCAGTAGTCTACCCGACAAACAGATTCCATTTTCCTCCCCACCCCTGCCCATAAAAGCAGTTTAATAATAAATAGGAAGATATTATGCTTTAAAGGTATTTCATGTCAGTTGCCTTTCTTCGACACACAATGCAATTAGAGTCTGGGCGGAAATTTGATTGACTGGCCACATGTGCCTTAAAGCATTGGAATAAGCACGGAGGAGGTGAGGTAGAAGGACACTTGATTGGAGAACAACAGTCGTGGATGAATAGGAAGGTGCCCAAAGTAGATCGTGGATATTTCTCCTAGCTTCTGCCAAGCCCATCGTGGAGAAAATAAAAGTTCCTCCTCCTTGCAAAGAAAGAGGAGAGTAAAGAAATAGCTAAAAGGTGACTTTAGTGATTCTCTGGTATTAACAGAGACATCATAGATAAGAAATTTTATTTATTATTTTTTTTCTTACAGGTGATATTAAGCCTAATTACAGGGTCTCTAATTCTAAGCACCAGGGAGTTTTATGGTAGCCTAGGGACTTTTGACATCCAAACTACCATAAATGAGAAGAAAATGTTAAGCTTTTATGGAAAGCAGAGAAGGAAAAGAGAAATGAAATTAAGGTTGGCAATTATTAAGTACCTGAGTGTATTAGGTATTTATAATTTTAATATAATTTTTAAAATATTGTTCTTAAGGGTATCACTAAAATGTTATATAAACCACCAGGTATCAGGAATCTTTCTAGATTAATGCTTTGCTTTCTTAATGAAGAGTTATATTTTCACAGGAAATATATACTAGATTAACCCAGGCTATATTTTGAAATTTTGTTGTCTACGTCTTTGAGGAACTTTGGTATTTACACTGCAAGACTTTTAGCCTAGTTACTTACTGACATCTTTTTTATTCTTGTGGACAAGGCTTATAAACTCCAGCATCACATAAGCCATTGTTCATGAAGATCCATTACTCATCCCTCTCTATATAGATGTATTTAGCTGCGATTTGTATAGCACATGGTGCTTAGGGTTCTTCAAGAAAGGTAGCAATTTAAAAACATATATGTGCAACGTATTCAAATAAAAAAGCAAATTCACAGATCTGTAGATAAAATGACCACGGTGAGACTGTACTAACTGAATCTACACAAACTAAATAAAAATGTAAGTGAATAACACATGTTCATAGTTATATATGCAGCTTTAAGATTTGGGAAAAACTTGGGCATTCATTATGTCATAGATATCGCTCATTTTCATTTGAGAAAATTCCCCATTAATATGCATTATTGAACAAGCGATGATTTGGGCCCCTAGGCTATATCTCATGATGAGGGTGATGCAGATGAAGTAAAACTTTGACAAATGAAAGGAAATCCAGATTTTATCATCACATCAGATTAGAGCTGTAAGCTGTTTCTAAACTCAAAACAGTTCAGATCAATCAGGGGAATCTTGCTGACATGGAGGAGCCTCTGCTTCTGGCTCTACTAATATTTGTGGAACAGTGAGCATGGAAATGGGCTTTAATTCTAGATCCCATCCTGGGACGGGTTGTGCATTCCTGCAGCAGCTGGCAGGGCTGCTGACACAGGACTGGAACAGGAGTTGGAAATCCCAGCTCTGCTACCTACTAGCTGTAGGATCTTAGTGAATTAGTTAACCTCTTTGATTTCATTGCTTGAAATCTCTAAAACTGAAAAAACAGTACCTGCCCTGTGCAATTCAAAAGGCTGTTCATACATCAAATGAAAATGAATGTGAAGGTTTTCTGAAAGCTGTAAATCAGATTTGCACTGAACTTCACAGTTAACCTGGCTTGAGAATAAAGATTAGGTATCACAACGTGGCCCTCAAGGCCCCACACCATTTAATCCCATTCCATGTGTCCTACCTCAGTCTCCTTGCTATCTAGCCACATATCCTCTGCTCTAGTGACCTGAATCAGGTTACCATTTTCTACCATATGACAGCTATGTATTGTGTGTTACTGTATTTCACGTGCACATCTCACACATGTATCATTCGATCATTGTAACTCTTGGAGGCAGAATAGGGATTGCTTCTAAGCAGCACTGAAGGGTAGAAATAAGAAAATTGCACAAATCCCATGCACATAGTAACTGGTGGAGACAGGATGTGGGTCCGGATTCATCTCTTAGGGTTGGGTCATGTAGAAAGTTTCTTCTTCTCTCTCCCCCAGGATAGGTGGTAACTCCCAGAGGGCATGCCTACGTGCTGTCTGGTGCAGAGCTTTGCACAAAGTATGAGTCAATAAAAATGAGTGATACAGAAATAAACTGTGAGATGTGAGTAACAGCCAGGTTTTCCTTGTAGAGTACAGGGTTAGTGGGAATGCAAGTATTATGGAGTGAATTGTGTCCCTCTCCTGCCAAATTCATAAGTTGAAGTCCTAGGCCCCAGTATGATTGTATTTGGAGATAGGGATCTTAAGAGGTAATTAAGGTTACATTTAGTAATCTAGAAGATAAATATGGTTAAATTTAAGAGATAAGATTAAATTAAAGTTATAGTAAATAATATTAAATTTAAATAAATAAGGTTGTAAAAGGTAATTATGGCTGAAGCCCTAATCTGATAGAATTGGTGGCCTTACCTGAAGAGGAAGAGAAAAATCTTTCTCTCTCCCCATTCCCCACCATGTGAAGATGCAGTGAGAAGGCAGCCATCTGCAAGCCAGGAAGAGAGCCCTCAGCGGAAACCCACTGTATTAGTCCATTTTCACGCTGCCAATAAAGACATACCTGAGACTGGGCAATTTACAAAGGAAAGAGGTTTAATGGAGAACTCACTGTTCCACATGGCTGGGGACGCCTCAAAATCATGGTGGAAGGCAAGGAGGAGCAAGTCACATCTTATGTGGATGGTGGCAGGCGAAGAGAGGATGAGAAAGATGCAAAAGCAGAACCCCCTGATAAAACCATCAGATCTCATGAGACTTATTTACTACCATGAGAACAGTATGGGGGAAACTGCTCCCATGATTCAATTAGCTCCCACTGCGCCCCTCCCACAACACCTGGGAATTATGGGAGTACAATTCAAGATGAGATTTGGGTGGGGACACAGGAACAAACCATATCATCCACCACGCTGACACTCTGATCTTGAACTTCTAACCTCTAGAACAGAAATCTCTCTTAGTTACACAACCTCATCTATGGTTGTTATGGAAGCCTGAGCAGACATCTTACACTTTGGGCTGGTGGTGGACTAAGTCCATGATGATCCTCATAGGCTGAATGACCTGATTTCTCATTCCTGGAAATATTTTCTTCATCATAGTCATAACAGTGATCATGTCAAAATAATCTTTAGAACATGCTGAAAAGGCTGCACTCTTGTTCTGAGCTCAGGAGGTGTGGGAGAGATTTACCCATGTCAGCTATTACACATAGATCCCAAAGGAAGTCTCAAGTAAATTTAAAAAACACATTGAACTAGATTAAAATCGAAATTTGTGGGACACAGTTAAGGCAGTGATGAAAAGAAAATTAATAACACCAAATGCTTACATTAGAAAAGAATACAATTCTCAAATCAACAATCTATGCTCCCAATTCAAAAAACTAGAAAAAGAAGAGCACAATAAACTAATAGCAAGCAGAAGATATAATAAATATAGAGAAAAAAATCAATGAAATTGAAAACATAAAGACAATAGACTAATTTAATTAAAACAAAGAGCTAGCTCTTTGAAAAGATCAATACAATTAACATACCTCTAGCTAGAATGACAAAGGAAAAAAAGAGAAAATGCAAATTACCAATATGAGGAAGGAAACAAGGGTTGCTATGGAGCATTCAACCATCAAAAGCGTAATAAGGGAATACTACAAACAATTCTACACGTATACATTTAACAACATAGATAAAATGGGCCAATTCCTTGAAAAACACAAACCACCACAAGTCAACCAATATGAAATAGGTAATTTGAACAGCCCTGTAACTATTCAGATAATAAATTTGCCATTAAAAACTCCCCCAAAAGAAATCTCCAGGACCAGATGGCTTTATTGAAAAATTCCACCAAACATATAAAGAATTAATACCAATTATATACAAATAGAAGAGGTACAATTTCCATTTCATTTATATATATTTTAGAGAAAGAGTCTCACTATGTTGTCCAGGTGTCCTGGCTATTCATGAAAGGATGACTGGTGCACATTTTTTTTTTTCGCTCTGTCACCCAGGCTGGAGTGCAGTGGTGCAATCTCAGCTCACTGCACCCTCTGCCTCCCGGTTCAAGTGATTCTCCTGCCTCACCCTCTCGAATAGCTAGGATTAGTGACACACTGCGGTGCTGGTTTCCAATTCATTTTATGAAGCTAGTATTACTCCAAAACCAAAATCAAACAGAGACAGTACAAAACAAAAGCAAAACTCCAAATCAATATCCCTACTGAATATAGATGCAAACATCTTTAACAAAATATTGCCCAACAGAGTTGAGCAATATAAAAAGAATTATATACCATGATTAACTGGGAGCTATTTCAGGGATGCAAGGCTGGTTCAATATTAAAAAAATCAATCAATATAATGTACCATATTGACAAGCTAAAGAAGATAAATCACATGATAATATCAATTCATGAAGAAAAAGCAATAGATAAATTCAACACTCATTCATGATTAAAACCCAGAAAAGTAGATAGGGAGAGAGGAACTTCTTCAACTTGATAAATCTACAAATTAAACTCTATAGCTAACACTGTATATAATAGTAAAAGACTGACTACTTTCCTTCTGAGATTTAAAGCAAGATGTCCACACTAACGACTGCTATTCAATATAGTACTGGAAGTTATAGTCAGGGCAATAGGGCAAAAATACATAAATAACAAACAAAGAAACAGAAATAAAAGACATATATATCAGAAAGGAATAAATAAAACTGTCCCTATTTTCAGAGGGCATAGTTGTCTGTATAGAAAATATATGATTAATCAAAATACTCCTACAACTAATAAGTGAATTCAGCAAGGCTGCAGGATTCAAGGTCAATATACAAAAATCAATTGTATTTCTCTATACTAGCAATGAACACCCAGGCATCAAAATTAGGAATACAATAACATTTGTAATTACTCAAAAAATAACACTTAGGCTTAAATCTAACAAAACCGGTACAGAATTTGTGTGCTGAAAACTACTAAATGCTGATGATGCAAATCAAAGAAGAGCTACATAAATGGAAAGAATACTAAGTTCATGGATTGGAAGTCTTAATATAGTAAAGTTGTCAATTTCCCCAAAATAGATATATAGGTTTGTAACAGGATGAATAATAACCACCCAAAGATAACAGGTTCTAAACTAAATATTGCCTTATAAGGAAATGTGGTCTTCACAGATATGGTTAAATTAAAGATCTTGACAAGGGGGTATTAACCTAGATGATCCAGGTGAGCCCTACATTCAATCACAAGTGTCCTTACAAGAGAGAGGCAGTTGACAATTGTACAGATATTATGCAGAGATTATGATGTAAAGACAGGCAGAGATTGGAGTGATGTGGCCAAGGGATGTCAGCAGCTACCAGAAGCTGGAAGAGGCAAGGAAAGAATTCTCCCCGAGAGCCTCTTGAGGGAGAATGGCTCTGCTGACACTTTGATTTTTAATTTCTGGCCTTTAGAACTCTGGATAATACATTTCTATTGTTTTATTTTATTTTATTTTTTGAGACAGAGTCTCACTCTGTCCCCCAGGTGTGATCTCGGCTCACTGCAACCTCCGCCTCCCAGGTTCAAGTGATTCTCATGCCTCAGACTCCCGAGTAGCTGGGATTACAAATATGCACCACCATGCCTGGATAATTTTTGTATTTTTTTTTTTTAATTATACTTTAAGTTCTAGGGTACATGTGAGGGTTCTATCATGTTGGCCAGACTGGTCACGAACTCCTGACCTC
Organism: Homo sapiens; assembly: GCF_000001405.40. Taxonomy (NCBI): domain Eukaryota; kingdom Metazoa; phylum Chordata; class Mammalia; order Primates; family Hominidae; genus Homo; species Homo sapiens. The sequence goes on from NC_000002.12 coordinate 29,635,865, forward strand.
AAGTAATCCACCCACCTCGACCTCCGAAAGTGCTGGGATTACAGGCATGAGTCACTGTGTCCAGCCACATTTCTATTGTTTTAAATGACCAAGCTTGTGGTCATTTGTTACAGCGGCCACACGAAACTAATACAAGGTTTAGCACAATTCCTATCAGAATCCCAGGAAGATTCTTGTGAAAAAGGAACTAGAATAGCTAAAATACTTCTGAAAAAGAAGAATAAAGTGGGAAGAATTGCTTTACCTGAATTCAAGATACTATATAGCTACAGTAATCAAGACATGTGGTGTTGGGGGAGGAATATACACATAGATCAATGGAATGAAATGAGAACACAGAAACAGACACATACAAATATGCCCATATTCTTGATAAAGGTACAAAAACAGCTCAATAGAGGAAGGATAGGCTTGCAACAAATAATAAATGGTCTTGGAGCAATTGGACATCCAGAGGCCAAAAATAAAGAAAGAAAGAAAAGAAAAGAAAAGAAAAGAAAAGAAAAGAAAAGAAAAGAAAGATAAAGAAAAATGGAGAAGAAACAAATGACCTTAGGTCAGAATTTTTAGTTAATAAAAGCTAACTCAAAATGAATCATGGACTTAAATGTAAGATGTAAAATTATAACACTTTAAAAAAATAGGATAAAATTTTGAGGAAGTAGGGCAACAGAAAGAGTTCTTAGACTTGGCACCAAAAAACACTATCTATAAAAGAAAAATTTGGTAAATTAGATTTCATCAAAATTAAAAACTTTTGCTCTGCAAAAAGATCCTGTTTATAGGATGAAAAGATAAGCTGCAGACTGGGAGAAAATATTTACAAACCACACTTCTGAGAAAAGACTAGTATCTAGAATATTTAAAAACCTCAAAATTCAACAATTAAAAATATTCAAATTAGAAAACAGGCAAAAGATTTAAAGGCACATTGTATCAAAAAGGATAAACAGCTGGAAAATAAGCACACGAAAGATGTTAAATATCATTAACTATTAGGAAAACGCAAATTACAACCACACTGAGCTATCACCTCACATCTGTCAGAATGGCTACAATAAAAAATGACAACACCAAATACTGATAAGGATTCAGAGAAACTACATCACTCCTACATTGCTGATGAGAGTAACATGGTACAGCCACTCTGGAAGACAGTTTGGCAGTTTCTTATAAAAGTAAACATGCCATTACCACAGGACTCAGTGGTTGCTCTCCTGAAAATGTATTCCAGAGAAATGAAGACATGTTCACACAAAAATCTGTACACAAATATTTAGAGCAATTTTATTCATAATGGTCCCAAACTAGAAACCAACATGTTCCTCCATGGATGTATGATTAAACAAACTGTGGTACCTCCATACCATGGAATATCACTCAGCAATAAAAGAAAAAAATTATTCATACGTGTGAAAACTTAGATACATCTCCAGAAAATGTATGGTGAGTAAGAAAAGCCAAGTTCAACAGGTTTTATGCCTTACGACTCCATTTGTATAGCATGTTTAAACTTACAAAAGTGTAGAAATGGAGAAGAGATTAGTAGTTTCCAGGGGTTAAGGAAGTGATGAGAGAGGAGGGAAGTGGATGAGAATATAAAAAAGCAACAGGCGGGTGGATCATTTGAGGTTGGGAGTTCGAGGCCAGCCTGGCCAACATGGTGAAATCCCTTCTCTACTAAAAAATACAAAATTAGCCGGGCGTGGTGGTATAGGCCTGTAATACCAACTACTTGGGAGGCTGAGGTAGGATAACTGCTTGAACCCACGAGGTGGAGGTTGCAGTGAGCCGACATTGCACCGCCGCACTCCAGCCTGGGTGACAGAGCAAGACTCCGTCTCCAAAAAAAAAAAAAGAGGACTCTTTGTGGTGCTGGGAATGTTCTGTACCTTAACTCTGTCAATGTCAATATCATGGTTGTGATATCACACTTATGTTTTCAAGATATTACTGTTAGTGGAAATTGTGTAAAAAGGGAAATGAAATCTATATTATTTTATAACTGTATATGAATCCATAATTCTTTCAACATAATAAGTTTAATTAAAACATATATAGTTGCTATTAAAACTCAAGCTGGTAATTAAACCCGATACAGAATTTTGAAATAAACTTGAAAAAAAAATCAATGTATATGTCAATGAAATAAGCAGAGCTCTAGTGTTCAGATCAGAGCTTTTTAGAGGGCTGTGGAATATGTTCTTCTCTATTGACTCCGTTTTCCCTAAAGCACACCTTAAACTTGAGATACTTGGAGGGCTCTGATAGCCATTTTTGGCATCTCAACAATGGCGGAAAGCGGAGGCAGGAAGCTGGGACACCAGCACCTGCTAACTGCATGACCATGGGGACCTGCAATATAGAAAGGTAATGGTGTCTACCACACCAAGTTATTGTGAAGTCTGTGCCTAGGGGCACAGAACATGACTGTACATCAACACATAGTAACTTTTTGCCAATATAAACCTTCATTGACTAGTATACACCTTCCAAGAGCTCCTCCTACCCTAACAAGGCTGTGGATGAAAGCTCTCCACTCAAGCAATCTTCATTTTGTTTGGGGAGACAAGAATGATGACAGCCAGGACAGCTTCGAGTGTCAGGGAACTTGTTTGTGGCAATGACCACAGGGCAAGGATGATGGAGTAGGGTGGGGGTGGGGGGAGATGGATGCGGATAATGCTGGGGCAGGGGCATGTACACCAAGGATGTGGCTGAATCCTTGCAAGGGTCTCGTCCTTTCTCTTCTGCCTGCCTGTTAGTCCTTTCCCAGCTTCACATGGAACAGCTCCTTATCTCACCCATGGAGTGGCCTGTTTCTTGCCCTACAGTTTCTCTGTTCTAACACCATCTGAAATGGGCTGTAGAGGATCTGCCTATTTGGGATCAGAAGACTGGGACTGAACCACAGCACCCCCTCTCATTAGCTAGTGACCTCTGACAAATCTCTCTCCCTGAGCCATATACATGTTTATACATGTTTTACCCATATACAAAATGCAGAGAATGAGGCTCCTTCACAAATCAGCCTGTGTGAGGGACATGCATGGCATCCCGTGTTCAGTACATGTGGACCACATGGTTGCTCCTGCTCTCTTAGACAAGAAATAAATGCCAGCTTTATTGAAAACAAATAGGGCTTCTACAGCAATACTGGGCACGTAAGGAGAATTAGAAAGTAGCTGAAATTATAGTCTTAGCTAAGAAAACACTCTAATTCTGACCTTATAGTAGAAGACCTCATGCCAGCAGAAATCTAGCTTTCACACAGAATTTCAGGACAGGTTACAGGGCTCATATTTAGCCACTCCCCAGAAAAGGATTCGGATCTTGCATGGAGGTCGGCATCACTCACACTTCTGGGTCACCTGAGGGTAGCTTCGGCAGGAGATCAGGAACAAAACCACCTCCGTAAGCTGTTCCAGAGGGTTCCTCTTCTAGAAACCCTGCTGTGTCCTTGCGTGGTGCACAGACACCCATGTCAGCAGGGCTCCTTCTGTGCACTGCCCCTGCCAGGACCACCCACAGATAGGAACCCTCTGCAAGTTAAACGGAATGTATCTCAGAACCTCATGCATTTCTTTCTTTCATATATCTCCTTGCCACATTCCACTAAGGATTTGAGCAAACTTACAAGACTTTGCACTCTAAAATAAAAAGCTACAAATAATTTAATAAACTGAGACCGGGGAGAATATATTTATAGAATAGGAAATCAAGACTAGGGCAAAGTTACATTGCCAGGTGTGCGAGCTATAGGCTTCTACAGTTACAAAAATTGAGCAGAGAATGTGACTCTGAGCTTTCTGGCAGTCAAAGCTAAGAGAGAAAAACATGGTTCACGAATTCAGTGAACATAAGGCAAACACTCAGCAGTTTTTCAAGGAAGCAAAGGTCTTCCTGACATTTAAATCTACAAGAGACATTTCTTAGGTGTGTCTTTACATAGGGAACAGGGAGTGCTGTCGTGAACAGCATCTTCGACAACATCCTATGAAAGTTCAGGTCCAGGGTTTGCATGATTTCATCCACATATCCTCCCAGAGTAACAATGCCACCACAGTTCTAGGAAACCTAGATCAAATGTGCTGGGTCTTGACGTTCAACTTAGGGATAAAACATATTTTAATCACTTAAACTTTTTTAAACATATGGTGGAGGGGTAGGGGAGATGCAACTACAGAAGAAGAAGCTCAGCACCTAATGCTGCGAATTAGACAGAGGGAGGTCCAGTGCCTCCAGTTCCCCCTTCTGTCTCCATGATTCTCTATTGCAATTTCAGTACCTGGTGGATTCTCAAACATTCATCTCCTCAGTAAGTAACTATTAAGCATTTACTATGTGCCGGGTGATACAGTTTGTATATTTGTCCCCAGTTAAATCTCACATTGAACAGTAATCGCCAATGTTGGAGGTGGGGCTTGGTGGGGAAGGGACTGGATCATGGGGGTGGAATTCTCATGAGTGGTTTGGCACCGGTCCCATGGCACTGTCCGCATGAGGGTGAGTGAGTTCTCATGAGCTCTGGTTGTTTAAAAGTGTGTGACACCTACTTCCTACGATCTGTCTCTTGCTTCTGCTCTGGCCAAGTGATGTGCCTGCTTCCCCTCTGCCTTCTGCCATGATTGTAAGTTTCCTGAGGAAAGAAGCTGAGCAGGCGCCACATTCTGTACATGCCTATACATGAGAAGCTGGACAGGCCACATTCCTGTACAGCCTGCAGAACCGTGAGCCATTAAACCTCTTTTCTTATAAATTATCCAGTCTTAGGTATTTCTTTAGAACAATGTGAAGATGGCCTAATATACCAGGTATGTGTTGAACAATATGGAGTTAGTCTCGAAAGGACAGTTATGTCCTTTTGGGGCTTACTATTAGTGGGGGAAGAAATACATTAAGCAAGTAATTACTGGTGTAGACACCGCTACCAATGGTGAAGTGCCAGGATTATGGAAGGGGTCCATATGGGGTGTTGAATTAGTCAGGTAGTGAAGGAGAAATAGACATTTAAGCTGAAATCTTAAGGATAAGAACTAAACAGCTAGGGAAAGAGTATTATGAATAGAAAGAAGAGCATGTACAAATCCCCTAAGTCAGAGAGGTGTTAGAATATTCCAGAAACTGGAGATGTCGGGACATTCCAGAAGCTGAAAACAGTATAGTGCTTGGCGGGGGCAGTGATGGTGAGGGGAAGAAGAGGAACAGCTCCCAGTGGGGCTGCTGAAGGAAGTGGCACACTTCATTAAGGGCCTGGAAAGCTTTGCCAAGGATTTGTGTTTTATCCTAAAATAAATAGGCAGATATTGGCAGGTTTCAAGCAAGGGAATTTTAATGCCAGTTCACAGTTCTGATGATCACTAGCTGCTGTGTGAAAAAAAAGGATAGGAAGGTGACAAGAGTGGAGTCAGGGAGGCCACAGTCTTTCAAGGATTAGGTTTTCTGAGCAGGAGGTGGGGGCGGCAAGAGTCTTGAATGAACAGTAGGTCAGTACCAGAAAAGAAAAGATGACCACAGCGCGTGATTCTGAAAAAACAATCCAATTGCCTGCAAGTGAACCACCGCAAGTCCAGTACATTGTGAGTTGGATCTGCTGAACAGCCCCTGGGAAAAACAGGGGCCCTGAGACAGACACTAATAACAATGCAAAGTCATTCATGCTTTTATTGTTCAATTATAATGAGTCCACTCATCTTGGTAATAATAATAATGATGTGTTTGAATAACATAATTGCTTAATAGCCATTCCTTACCACCACCACCACCACCCCCTACTATTAGCACAAAACTAAAATAACTTAGAGTATTTGTCATTCTAAAAGAGGCAGAAAAAATTGCTTTTCTCTGCTAGTAGCTTTTAAGAAATAAATTATATAGATGATCTAGTTATTTCTGTGGCTTTAAAGGGGAACCTTCACTTAGGGCAGCAAAATGTATAAGGGTTATCCTTTCAGGAAAGCCCCTTTCATATAAACAGAAACTTTTCTTCATGGAATTCAATTAGTCTCTGGGCCTCAGTTTTGCTATCCCTAATGGGGGATCAGACTAATTTGTGGTTTCCAAACCCAGGTATACATAAGAATGAGCTAGGAAACTTATCAAAAATTCACCTCTTTGGGCTCCATCCATGATTCTTTGTATGTGGAGCCTGAGAATTTGTATTTTGAACCACTTGCTTGGATGACCTCTCAAGTTCCTTCTGTCTTCAAAAGTCTAGGACACTGCTTTGCAGTGTGGTCCACCTGGGAGCTTGTCAGACATATAGACTCTCAGCCCCACCCCAGAACTGCTGAAGTAGAATTTACTCTTTCAACAAGAGTCCTGGAAGATTTGGAGGAACATTAAAATTTGAGAAGTTCTAGTCTAGGACTCTACCTTTCAAATATGCACCTTATTTCCTATAGTTCAGGAAAACTTGGCCATTGGAGAAGAAACCAACTTTCTAGCAGAAGCAAAGCAACTCAGTGGCTGAGCTTTGAATGCAATTCGGTTGTCCTTTATCAGCAAGGACAGAATGCCTCTCTCACAGCCATAAATAAGCTCAGAGAAAAGAAGCCGAATCAGCAAAGGTAAATCAAGTCCTGAATTGTGCTGGCTCATGCATATATTGAGAGACAAACAAAAAAGGAAGCACTAAAATCTCCTGCATATTTCTTTAAAATATATAAATAGTAGATAATCAGAGGTTGACTTCAAATCTGGGTCGGCATAAATTTCTTCTCAGGGGCATTAAATATCCTCCTCTCTTTCAGCTTCCTTTTTCACTGGGTCCTTCTCATCCTGAGCTGTGTTCTGCAGTTTCTCTCCTGTCTCAGACTCAACTCTCACCTATTCAGCTCTTCTTTAAAAAAAGAAAAACAGGCAAATCAAAATAAGCAACAACAACAAAAAACCTGTTATAATTTCTTCCATTAGTACTACATGGATAAATCCCAATCTCTTTCCATATTTACTTCTCTACTTGAATTTAAACTCAGTTTGCCTACTGTCTTCAGGAATTGTTTCAGTAACTATCATTTAGTCATTTATTCCACCAACTTTTATTTAGCACCTACATAGTTTGGTACCCCAAGTATCATACTATGTGAGATTAAATCCAACCTGCCTCTTTCCTCTGGGAGCTCAGAGTTTATTAGAGATTTAAAATTTAGGAATAATAATAACACCTAATAGAAAGTAAGAAGTGAAGATTTAAAAGAGACAGAGATAAAATGGTATGGGGGAAAGCCAAAGAGATAAAATGGTATGGGGGAAAGCCAAAGAAGATAATCTTTTTGGCTGGGGAAAAATAATAATGGTTTCTTGGGGGTCATGGTGGGTTTGAAATATGCATTGAAAAGTTAAAATGATATGGGCAGGTATTAAAGTTTCCAGGGCTGGTACTGGGAAGCAAGATACATCACCAGGAAAGGGAATGGCATCTGCAAAGGCAAACTGGTTACCACATATAGTGTGTGGACATCTGAACATAACAAAGTTGACTTGAGTGGCCCCTGCATGAAGACAAGTAATTCAAAAAATATGTTGGAAAGATTGTGGAGAGTTTTTAATTTTAGTCTAAGAAATTTGATCTTTATTCTAAAGCAATAGGAGCAACCAATAACTTTCTAAATAGAGGAGTGACAAAGCCAAGCCTGAGTCTTTGGAGGAAAATGCTGGCTAAGAGAATTGGACACTGAAAACCTAGAGGATGGGCATTGCAAAAGGCTTGGTGGAGGGCAATGAGGACCTGAGCCAGGAGCGGGTGAACAGTGGGGAGGCCATTTATAACTGTGGCTCTGTCTTATAACTTAGACCCTCTTTCCTGAGCTGGCTCAGATCAATCAGGTTAGGGAGGGGAGGAAATGGGCATACTATAACAATCGAAATCTAGTAGTTTCCCAACAGGTGATGGAGAGGATGTGGAGAAACAGGAACACTTTTACACTGTTGGTGGGACGGTAAACTAGTTCAACCATTGTGGAAGTCAGTGTGGCAATTCCTCAGGGATCTAGAACTAGGAATACCATTTGACCCAGCCATCCCATTACTGGGTATATACCTGAGGGATTACAAAACATGCTGCTATAAAGACACATGCACACGTATGTTTATTGTGGCACTATTCACAACAGCAAAGACTTGGAACCAACCTAAATGTCCAACAATGATAGACTGGATTAAGAAAATGTGGCACATATACACCATGGAATACTATGCAGCCATAAAAAATGATGAGTTCACGTCCTTTGTAGGGACATGGATGAAGCTGGAAACCATCATTCTCAGCAAACTATCGCAAGGACAAAAAACCAAACACCGCATATTCTCACTCATAGGTGGGAATTGAACAATGAGAACACATGGACACAGGAAGGGGAACATCACACACTGGGGCCTGTTGCGGGGTGGGGGGAGGGGGGAGGGATAGCTTTAGGAGATATACCTAAAGTTAAATGATGAGTTAATGGGTACAGCACACCAACATGGCACATGTTTACATATGTAACAAACCTGCACGTTGTGCACATGTACCCTAAAACTTAAAGTATATTTAAAAAAAAAAAGGAAAGAAATCTAGTAGTTTCCTGCTATCCTTCAGTATTTTTCACCTAGAGCTGCTTCTAGCTTTCCCTGTGGTTTCAGAAACACAGAGAGATTACAGTCATGTCTGTGTGTCTTTGCAAGAGCAGAATAAAGCCTATATATCTTTTCAAATTAAGGTTTTTTTTTCCCCCCACTCTCCAGGGAAAGCAGCAACTTCTCCATTCATGTAGGAATCAAATTGCTAGCCATTATGCTTGCTGATCATTTATAGAAGTTTATACCCCTAGCAACCAGATATGCTCAGTTTGTCTCCGACACAGATGGAAGACCTTAAAAAAAAACAAAAAGCTCAACCTTTACTAGAAACAAATTTCTAAAAGTACGTATTAAAAAGGTAAGTTTTAAAAACAATTCATGCATGGATCATTCCTTAAATAGAAATTTCAAGTAGTTTCAGAAAATCAGAATTAATTATAATGATCCTGACTTGCTTGGTTCATTCCCCTAGGAATATCTCATAAATATTCAGTGTGTTTAGATTTCACTGGCTCTGGGTGCAAGGACTCCAGGCCAAGCACCCAATGTCAATTCTCCATAGGGTCCTCCAGGTCCCACAGTCTTGGAGGCCTTGGAGATGTCCCAAAGCCAAGACTGCCCAGAAAGATCCAGGTCCAATCCTTGAGCCTAGTAAACTAAAAATAAGAGCCTTTACTTTCTCCTCTTTTCTTCTCTTTTGTAATATTTTTGCTACCACCAGGTGGTAGTGGGTAAGTGCATCTATGAGAAAGGTGGAGTTATCAAAGTGTAAAGGCTCAGTTTTGGGAAATTATCAAAATAAACTCTGTTTAATGAGAGTCTGGAAATCTTAATTAAATAGGATCAATATTACACACGGAACAAAACCAAAAATACAAATATAAATGAGGTGTCTTTCCTTGTGGGAAAAGTCAGAAAGTGTGTATTCAGTTGTTTTCAACAGGAAACAAACTTGGCTTCTTTCATATAAGACCCAATGGTCAGCTTGAGGAATGTCCCGCATTTTCACCCACATTTTTCTCAGATTCCAAATACTCTCATGGTATCATTTTCATGAAAAGAATAAAGCGTACTCCATTAGAATCATCATAAAATCTTAGAATTTTAGAGCTAGTAGGAGCTTTTTCGCTTTACAAATGAGAAGACTGGCCCTAGAGAAGTTGCATGGTGACTTGGTGGAATGGACCAGGGCCCAGCAATTCCTTCTCCAGCCAGGCTTTTTCCGCCATCCTGTGCCACCACTGCTCCTATCAAGGAGTGTGTTGTTCCATCCAGTGGTCAACCCTCAGCCCTCAGATGCTCTTCCTTGGCCATAGACAGCATTCACCCACAGCTGGTCACTCCCACACCCACACTTCCTTCACCTGACTTCTGGGACACAGGGCTCTCTTGGTTTTCCTCCTACCTCATCATCCTTTCTTTAATCACATTTACTAGTTCCTTCTCATCTCCCCAAGATGCTAATATTGGAGTTCCATGGGGACCAGCCTTTGGTCTTCTACTCTTTCTTAGCTACAGTCATTCATTCCCTTGGGAAATCTCCTTCAGTCTCATCTCCCTAGTGAACAACTCCCCAGTGAAGACCCTGGATTTGTATCTTCAGCCGAGACCACTGCCCTGAGATCCAGGGCCCTTTATCTCTCTTCCTTCTTAAGATCTCCACTTGGCCATTGTTATGGATTGAATGATTCCAGTTTCCCACATTAGAACCTAAATTCATGAGTCACTGACACAAACTTGATCTACCTGTAGTCATTTCTAACCCCAATTAATTGCAACTTTATCCCCCCCAGGCCAAAACCATTGAAGTCACTCTTGTTTCCTCTCTTTCTCTCACATTCTATGTCCAAGTCATTGGCTCCGCCTCAAAAACACCACTCCTTACCATCTGCCCTTCCAGCATCTGATACAAGTTGTCTTTTTCTTGCTTAGTTTCTTGAAAATATTTCTACACATCTACATGCTTCAGCCCTTGTTTCACTATAGTCTCAACTTGACAGCTGAAGGGGTCCTTTTAAAACTTGCATTAGAACATGTTTTCCCTTTGCTCCAAACCCTCCAAAACCTTCCATTTCTCTAAGAGTATAAGCCAAAGTCCTTATGATGTTTCCAAGACGCTTACAGCCTGCCCTGAAGCCTCTTTGACCTCATCTCCTGCCACTCTCCTCCTGCCTTACTCTGCTCTAGCCACATGGTCGTCTTGCCATCCCTGAATATTCCAGGCATTCTCCTGCTTCAGGGCCCTTGTGGTCATTACTCCCTCTGCCTGGTCGGCCCTCGCAAGATGGCTGTGTGGCTCATTATCTGACCTCCTTCAATTCTTTGTTCAAATTTCTCTGTCACACAAAGCTTTCCTGACCACCCTTTCAAAAATTGCACCACACCACTCCTGCCTTCCTTGCTTTATTGTCCTTTATAGCACTTATTTACTTTCAACATATTGTACATTTTGCTTATTTTTCCTATTTCTTCCTATGAGTGTAAAAGGATCAAGAAAGCAGGGATTGATGTTGATTGGGTTCACTGATGGGTCTGTGTGTATAAACCAGTTCCTTGCACTGTTGTATTGAATCAATGTGTGTTGAACAAATAATTGTGGGGTGAATGAATGGATGAATGAATGGATGAATCCAAGTCTAGTTTCCTTGTAATATAATATATGGCTCTTCTTCCAGTTTCACATTCTTCTGGGCTTGGCAAAATCAGTTTTGAATACAACTGCTCCTAGTAATGGAAGTTACGTTAGAAAATTCAATACGGCAATGAACTTCTGCCATCACTTCTGTATTGTGGCATGTAAGGCTTGTTCTCTAAGAGTTGTGTATCTCTCCTTAAGTGCTATACTTATAGTTCAGATGAGCTGCCACTAGGTAGAACTCTGGGCATTCAGTTAGGAGCTCTGCATCTCTAATATGTCTCTTCTTCTCCCTGCATACTGTCCTGGGCCAGGCCCACATAGTCTCCTGTTAGGTCACTTGCATCAGCTTCTCAGTTGACTTCCCCATTCTTAGTCTTTCTCCCCTAATTCCCACCTAACCAGAATGATCTATCTCAGTGGCCTGCAATCTTTCATGTTTAGTGGCCACTCCTTTGTAATTATAGGTAGACTCATATATAGAACAGAGCATCTCTATTTGAAGCTCTCTCTTTCATCCCACCTCAAGGCAGCCTGTGAAGAAGCGTCCGGAATTGAGGGAGCTGTAGAATGAAGTTCATATTCCCCTGATTAAGCCCGTCCATACACTTAGCTTGAATGCCCCTTTTCACACAAACCGTCAAGGGCTTCCTATTGCTCAGAGAAGTGTTTCATCTACCATAGTAATCCATGCACCACGTTCATGATTTTTTCTTTTTTTTTTTTTTTTTTTGCCACAGTCACATGCCTCTCTATTATTCACCTAATGTTTTTCTTAAAACCAACTCATATTTATAAACTTAGATTCAGTTTAGGGAATCTAAATCATTATTGTCATCACCATAAACTAAAACCCAATGTGTCATTCATTATGAATAGAAGATAATATTAAAATTAAATATGTAGGGATTTGGATGACAAAGTTATCATGTTCATCTGTAAGTGTGCTCCACACTGTAGGGAAACACTGCCTAGAGAATAAAGCTGCAGCTCCTTTACCCAATGTGTTCAACCCTCTCCATGAAGAAGAAAATTCTTAAAGTTCTCTGCACGCTGTTTTGCACCTCATTGACTTTGCTCATGCAGTTCCCTTGGCCTGGAATGCCTACCCCAATTTAGTTTTAGGTTTAAACATTTTTTAATTTTTATTGAAGTATTACGCATAAATAATTTGAAAAATCAGTTAGTACTCTAGGCTTACAACAAAACACAGCTGCCCCTCCCTCCTAATTCTCCCTTCCTAGAGCATACACTTTCTTTTTTTAAAAAATTGTGGTGAAATATACATAACATAAAATTTACCATTTTACTCATTTTTAAGTATATAGTTTGGTGGTATTAAGTACATTCACAGTCCTGTGCAACCATTACCACCACCCATCTTCAGAACTCTTTTCACCTTGTAAACCTGAAACTCTGTGCTCATTAAACACCAATTCACTCCCCACTCCCTCATTCCCCTAGTCTCTGGCAATCATCATTCTACTGTCTGTCTCTGTGAATTTGACTACTCTAGGTACCTCATATAAGTGGAATCATACAGTATTTGTCCTTTTGTGACTGGCTGATTTCATTTAGCATCATTATTTCAAGCCTCACTCATGTGGTAGCATGTAACACTTTCAATTCACTCCACTACTTTCTTTTGACATTATGCTAGGAATTCTCTTTTCCTCTCTTCTGAAATGGATCCTCTGTCTTCTGGATCCCATGTTTTCCTATTCTTTGTTTTATTCTCTTATTTTGATGTGGCATATCCTTCAGTAACTTTTTAAGTAAGGATGCACAACAAGCACATATTTTGAGACTTTGCATGTGTAAAAAAAATCTTTATTTTAACTTCACATTTAATGATAGTTTGGCTGGGTATGGAATTCTAAATTGGAAATTATTTTCCATTCACATTTTGAACACATTTATCAACTGACTTCTAGGTCCCCAAATTGCAGATGTTAATGCAGATGCTACTCTGATTCCCCATCATTTGTATACGATCTATATTTTTTCCTTTGCAAGACATACAATCTTTATTTTCTATTACTCTGAAGTTTTATAATTATATGATATTGTGTATGCCTTTTATAGTGTGGGATTCAATTATGCTGGACACTTTCTGAGGTTACAATGTGTGTGTGTGAGAGAGAGTGTGTGTATGTGAGAGAGAGAGAGAGAGAGAGAGAGAAAGTGCGTGCGTGTGTGTGTGTGTGACAGAGTGTGTGTTTCATATTTATTCCTGCTCCCCGTATTGACTCTGAGACCCTCACCCCACCTCACCACCGACCTTTGTTTTAATTTGCGTTTTGGTTTCAGTCACTGTGCTTTCTGTTAGAACTGCTATCATCAAATATCTGTTGATCCTTGGTTGTTCTTTATGAAAAATTCAAAGCCAATTGGAATTTCTATGCACATGAATGAGGGCTGTTGCCTTGTAAACTTCATAGGAGGGTGATTGGGCCAGGAATGAACCATTGAATGATTCCCCATGGCAATAACAGATTTTTCTCTGGGGCATGCCAGTCTCCTTGAGGAATAACCCCCTTTTTTTCCTTAGTAGGGGGGCATTCAACTAACTACACTGTTCTGAAGTCTGAAAGAGGAGCAGGCTAGGACATCTCACTGTTCAGGATACAGACTCTTCCTCAACCTCCTGGTGGTTGGTATGGTGCACCCATGCTCTCACCTCTGCCTGGCTTGTGGACTCTGTCCTTATATTCCATTTAGGGTCCCTCTATTCTCTCCTTCAGTTGACTCACCTCTGCCCTCCAGCCCTTACTTTGGCCCCCCATGGCCTGCTTTCCTCCCTGGCTAGCCCTCAGCTCAGATATGATAACCCTAATATCTTTTCATGAACTCATGATTTTTATCTTTCACATAAGAAAGCATATGTATAGACCACAAAATCTATGCAGAGGACAGAGACCCTTTGGGAATCAAACTCCACATCCTTAAAACCACAAGGAAGGGAAGGAAGGAAAAGTGTCCAACCCATGCCTTCCAGAGTTTCAGACCCCTGACTCTAAGACCCTAAGTAACAAGAGATTGCAGATGAATATTAGGGAGTATTTTACACTGAAGCAAGCCTTCAAATGGTTATATACAAAATAGATTCTCTAATGAAACATATCAAGATGAACTGAACATATGGATAGGTTAGCAGCTATAAAAGTCCTAATCTTCTAATTCTGTATTGGTCTTTCCAGTGACCAGACCCCATCCTGAAGCCAGGTAGGGGCTGCCAGTCAGTAGTCAATCATTAGCATGCAAAAATGCATCACTTTGGAATTTCTAAGGATTTTAGGATTTGAAAGCCAAGAAATGGGATTAAAAAACTAAACATATTTCACAATATCACATCAAGAAACTTTCATTATGGAAAAGGGTAACTCTCTTTAAGGTGGCTTATTACTAGAAGTAAGATTTGGGGTCTTAAGACGTCCCGGGGCTTCCTTAACAATCGACTTCCTAGTACTTTTTGATGAAGCACTGTCTCTCCTTTAACACTGCCTTTAGTTTCTAACCTAATCTTATTTGGCATGATTCTCTAAGACATGCCAAACAGAGCTTTCAGGTTTCTCTGTTTTCTGGTATCTGGATATGTCTGACTCACTTAAGAAGTTTCATCCAGTGACAGTAACCATACCCGATGAGGTCTCCGTGTTAACAGAGCTTAAATGTTTGCTACCCCCTCAGGCTCTTTGGGTGATGATTCAACCAAAGGGAAAATGGCAAGTGAAAGTGTGTGCCCCCTCCCCTCTGACTTCAGAGCATTGCAATAGGGCTACTTTTAATGTGCTTGGTAACAATTAGCTCTTGAAGCTGCAACAGCTGCACAATGCTGATGCTCTCCAGATGCACCAAACGAATTAAATCATGCGATAATTCAATTGGAAAATTGGGTGTAATTATGGAGAATGCAGAGTCTGCTAGTCGCCGCACGGTGACTTGGAGTTCTTGAAACAACAGTGGTGTGGGATGTTCAGGGAGTGTGTGGCAGACACAGAAGCCGATATGGGTGTTTGCAGAAATCTCAGCCCCCTCTATGACAATGATGGAATTACCCAACCCTGTTCTCAGTTAAGAGCTATCTGAGTGCCACTAAAGAGATCTCCTCTGTAACTTCAAAGCTTCTCACATCCAGACCACTCTTCCTGACATGATAGTGGGGGCTGCGCTTCAAGCTGGTTGGGAACGTGTAAAACAAGCAAAGGCTGGAATCCCTAAGGAGTAGTGATACAAATGTTAATTTAAAGAGCTAGTTAAGTAAGAGAACCATAAATTATGATACCTTAAACATTCTGTTTTAACTAACACACACACACATATTCATACACCAATCTCTTGATAGAGGGTCATGTCCAAGGTCAATGTCTTCTGCGTAGCATCTTTCTCACATTTATCAGACCCTTAATGCATTGGTTATAATTTTCAGTTTGGGTTTATGTGATGGGGAATAAGAACCTAAAAAGATCTGAGGATCATTTTCAATAGCATCTTCTCAGAGATATTTATGTTTTTCTTTCCAAACTCTGAGAGTCACCCAATTCAAAGGCTTCTGTGTGCTGTTTTGCAGTTATGCCCTGCACAACTCGAGGAGGCGTCAGCCACAGGGTATCCCTTGGAGTCGTGTAGTGACAACTTGAGAGTCGTTCTCAGGGGTCCTGCCTCATCCAGCAGCAACTTCTTTTGTACTGGCTTGCCTTTATTGAATCTTTCTGCAGCATTCAACTGAGTTTTCATAGAAACAATAGCTCTCTCCTTGCATTGCAATTGAATCTTATAATTACCATAAATATCTTTTAGAACAAATACAATAGCCTCTTGGGAAGTGAGCATCTTAACTGGTGAGCAGAAGTGTGCATGTATGCAAGGGAACAGCCTATAGGCCTCGAGTGTACAGGATGCTATGGGCATCAATCAAGATAATTTACAGAGTGTTCTGCTCAGTTCTGGGAATTTTTAAAAAAATGATACTTTACAGAGGGAAAGCTAATACAGAGAGCTGGTAAAGGGAAGGTTAATTAAGAGAGCTTCTACTGTCCTGTGAATTTAGTGATGCTCTTAAACAAATTTCTATTTTATTATTCACTATTTCATCTATATTTTTTTAAAATAGCACCTAGAGATGTCAGCCATTTTATCTTTTTAGTCCACAGATAAATTTCTGGATTCCTTATCATAACTCCCCAGGCATTATAGTCTTCAGATTGGGAACCCCTGGCTTAGGGTCTGCTGCCCATAGTGAAATAAAAAATGATTGAGCTTGGTTAATGAAGGAGTAACGAGTTCTCTTTGCATGATGTGATTTAAACTCAAAGGGAAGAATGCTGAAGCATCCATTAAGAGCCATGCTTTTCCATAATGAAAGTTTCTTGGTGTGATATTGTGAAATATGTTTCATTTTCGATCCCATTTCTTGGCATTCAATTCCTAAAATCCTTAAAAATTCCAAAGTGATGCATTTTTGTATGCTAATGATTGACTGATGACTGGCAGCCCCTAGGTAGCTTCAGGATGGGATTTGGTCACTGGAAAGACCAAGGCAGGATTAGAAGATAGGGACTTTCAGTCCCATCCCTCAGCCTCAGGGAAGGACAAAGTGGCTGAAGGTTAAGTTGATCACCAATGGTCAATAATGTAATCAATCACGCTTAGGTAATGATGTTTCCATAAAAACTCCAAAGAACAGGGTTCAGAGAGCTTGTGGGTAGCTGAACATCTGGAACTTCCTGGAGGTGTCACACCCAGAGAGGGCATGGGAGCACCACACCCCTTCCCCATACCTTGCCCTACACATCTTGTCATCTATATTCTTTGTAATATCCTTTATAATAAATCGGTAGACATAAGTAAGTTTCTCTGAGTTCTGTGAGCTGCTCTAGCAAATTAATCAAACCCAAAGTGGCAATGGTGAGAACCCCAACTTGAAGCTGGTCAGGCAGAGGTTCCTAAGGCTTGGACTTAAGACTGGTAGGAAGCAGGGGCATTTTGGGGACTGATCCCTCAACCAGTGGAGTCTGACGCTGTCTCCAGGTAGATAGTGTCAGAATAGAACTGAACTGGAGGATACCCAGCTGGTGTTTGCTGCAGAACTTCCTGCTTGCTTGGTGTGCGGGGAAAATCTCCATACATGTGGTCACAGATGTCTTCTATCTGTGTTGACTTTTGGCGTGAGAGCTGAGAAACCCAATCTGTGTTTTTTTCCACCCTCACCTGGATAGTTTAAAAACCACAAGAAATATTGATGCTAAAGAGGGAAAAAGCCACCAGTTTATCCACCTGGGACTTTCCCCAACTCCTTCTCCCTTCGCCCTGTCTTTAGGTACATCACATCTTGTCTTTTAATTTGACCAGACCAAGAATTAGACTCGAGAAGCTCCTCACTGAGAAACTGTGACCTAGGGTTGGATCGTCTTCCGTTGAAATCATGACTTTGCCTCTTGCTTACCTAACTTAACTTAATTTGAACGTTAGTTTCTTTGTCTGTAAAAGGGTCATGGCAATAAGTACTCTACCAAGTTACTGTAAAGATTAAATGTCCCAACATATCCCAAAGGACCAGATATGGATTGGATGCTCAATAAATGTCAGGCAGGAGCAAAGGGTGGCTAAAGTTTTATCAGAAGGTAAAGGAATGGGAGAAGATACACGGTATGAGGAAGAGGTGATTCAAAATAGGGAGATAGAGAAGATGAGAAAAAGTAGTAAAAATCATATACAGGACTGGGCACAGTGGCTCATACCTGCAATTCCAGCACTTTGGGAGGCCAAGGCAGGAGGATCACTTGAGATCAGGAGTTCAAGACCAGCCTGTCCAACATGGCAAAACCCTATCCCTACTAAAAATACAAAAATCAGCTGGGCAGGGCACATGCCTGTAATCCCAGCTACTCAGGAGGCTGAGGCATGAGAATCATTTGAACCCAGGAAGGGAGGTTGCGGTGAGCTGAGATGGCACCACTGCACTCCAGCCTGGGTGACAGAGCAAGACTCTGTTGCAGTAACAACAATAATAATAATATACAGAATTGTGTGGTTAAAAAGTGAATTTATACACATTATGTCACTGGCATAGTCCAACAGCCCTGTGAGATAGGATGGGATTTAGTATTCATTTTTCAGACGAGAAAACAGGTCTAAAAGATTAAAAGAGTTGGCCAAAAGGATGAAACAGAGTTGGCACTTGGACCCAAGTTCTCCTTATTCCCAGCCCAGTGGTTTGCTCATAAGAGTATATGATCTTCAGCTTTCTGTCTTTACCACACCATCTTGGAGACTCCGTGATGGCTGTCATGCTCCAGATGACCTCCTTTTGTTCTAGGGAGAGTTATACAAACAGTCAGTGCTCCAGGAAGCTGCTTTGGGTCTTCCAGGTCTAGCATGCCTTCCAGTAATTATTTTGAGAGAAACAATGATGGAAAGAATCCATGAAAAAGGAAGCTTGGGTCATACAGTTTGTGGGTAGGGGAACACTGAATATGAAAATTGCAACTGGAGATCACCCTTTGAGGTTAGGACCCAGAGAAAAGTGATGTTATGAGTCCTGAGTTATTTTATTAGTGGATAGAAAATTATAGGAAGTGATATGTTTTGAAGATGGAAATTTTAGAGGTCTAATGTAACTCTCCAGGCATATTGAAAGATGTTATTTCCATATTCTTCTTGGGTAATCAATCATGCCATAGCAAATTAAGAGTTCTTATTTTTAGGCTTATTAGCTACACAATGATAATGAAAATTGATTACAGCCACATTCCCCTCCTTAAGACACTGTCAGTAAATGAACTGAGATGCCCCAGAATCAATCCATTTAAAAAATATACTAAAGGTTGAAAAAAAAGCCCTCATCAATTACTTTGACATCTGTTAATAAAGAAAAGATGACGAACTGGCTGCTTCTGTCATTGTTCGCTTACTGTAGGCTAAGAAAACAAGTTCTTTTGTTCTACCAACTGAAGACATCTTCAAAAGCTGAAAGTATCTGAGCTGCTGAAGACCAGATATTGGTTTCCAGGAATATAAATCAGAGAAATGTCCAAAAATACTAATAGGAAAGTGCAAAAACAAGAATAAGCCATGTCTGTCTCTGATTTATCAACCTTCAAAGTCTAAGAAGGTTCTTTGGATTAGACTCAGGAAGTTCCTGTAGGTGGAAACTTGGCAATACTGGGGTATTATAAAAATGCTGGTAGGGGCTGAATATGGTGACATTAACAAACTAAGGATCTAGAGAAACAGGGAAGTGCACCTTTTGTGAACCTAATTAATGGTTTTGTGCTTTATAATTTTGGGAAGATGTCAAGATGTCCAAATAAATAGCAAATAATAATACACCAGTTCTGTATGTTACCTTTTCCAAGCCATTTTTTGGGGGTAAAAGAAAAAAATGCTGAAGATAGTATCTTACGGGGTCCCACACTAACACTGAGGTTTCACTAACAACAGAGTGCATGAGGAACGCATTCAGTCCTCCCTCAGATTATTCTGAGCTGAGTCCAGGGAGGCCTGGAAAAGCTCACTCATAACAACACAGGGCAAGATGACAGTCCTCTGGGGCTTAGGCCCATGATCTCTGGACTCTAACACTCATCACCTTGGAGTTGTAAGGTCTCAGCTCATTTCAGAGATCAGGCTCATTTAAAAAATCAGCTCACAAACATGGATTGCCTTTGAACAATTATAGAAGTTCTAGATACTCTTCATAGAAAGAAAATGGAAAATAAAGTATAAAGATGTGTTTCTCTTTTCTGAAGGATTGTGTTTAAGCAACTTGGAACGAATCCAGGTCAAATATCAAGTGACTTCATACTTCATGCATTTCTCTGCTGATTGACATATGGTCATGCTAGCTGGAGACTGGGTCATAGGAGAAGAGCTGCTGTGCTACTAAATGCCTGTGTCCATATTTATATCCACAAACATCTTTCTCTAAGAAGGTATCATTCTGTCTGAGGGTCACAAGCATATGTATATATACAAGTTTAAATAAACAGAGGAGACACTAGAACATTTTTTTGGTGATGGAAATTTTTTTTCCTTGATTGCAGGGCTGTGTGTGTTTATCAAAATTCATGGGACTGTACACTACAAAGGGTGAATTTTAAAAATGTAAATTTTTACATTAAATACTTCATTAACCCCACCCCCAACACACATACTAAGTTCTTAAAGACAAAAGTCTATGATAAAGCCCAGCTTTCATGGCCTTATTGGAATGGTAGAGGGACTGACTGAATGATATGTAAGATCCGTCCTAACTCTAATATTCTATGAATAATTTTAAAGTATCTCAACTGAAGCACTTTACATTTCTATCCCACAGGACACTAATGACTGAGACTGTAAGCATGTATTTAAACCTGGCCAACTAATGTATACATATTTCTTCCCACAGGCAGGGGAACATATTGAAAGCAAATGCTAATATCTCAATTCCTAGCTAAGGTAATAGTGCTAGCTAATATTCATTGAATAGTTACAATGCACAGGCATTTCTATGTGACATACATGTATTAGTTTATTTGATATAACAACCCTATGAAACTGAAACTATTATTGTCTCCATTTTACACACAAGGAACCTGAAACACAAAGAAGTTAGATGTCCTGTTCACAGTCAAACAGCAAGTGAGTGGTAAAGCCAGGACTTAAAGCCAGGTAGTGCACTCTTTGTGGAGAGACTCAGAATCCAATGAGCAAGGAGGGATCAAACCTTATGTACTCCACAGAGAGGTAGACATGGCGTTTGAAGCTCCCATCACAGACTTCTTTATCCTTGCTCCTCATTCTCCATCCTACTACTCCATCCCTTTTTGCAGGGAAAAAAAACTGTTCAAAGAACAAAACTCAGAACCTTTTTTCCTGCTTATATAAAGGGCATGGTGTCTCCCTCTTCTGCTTCCTCACTTTTTCCTCCTAGAAAGCACCCATGCAAAATATTTAACATAGAAAACGGCATCAGTTCAGGTAAGCTGCCAGCTTGAAGTAAGATTGGTGAAGTTGCAAGGAGGATGAACCAATAGGTGGATCTTTTGTGATCCAGTGCCCTTGCCCTGCCACCCACTTCTTGGTGGCTTTAAGCTAATTAGTTGGACACAAAAGTCTTAAAGGAGTAACAAGGCTAAGGTGGACAAGAGTGAGAAGGGAAGCAAAACCTGGACTGTAAAGATAACATTGGAAAAGAAGGGACTGAGAGGCAGCTGTTGTGGATTAGAAAGACCACTTGACTCAGAGTCAGAAGTCCTGATCTTAATACCATTTGTGTCTTTCAGTAGAAGCATGACTCCGAATATGCTACTTCTCTGAACCTCCACGAGCTCATCTGTAAAATGGGGACAGCATAGAAGGGTCCTTGTTAAGACTAAAGATGTCTCTGAAACTGAGGTACACATTGTAAAGCACCGTGCAATATGAATTAAAATGGCAGAGCACCAACCAAAGGTGCCTGGGTAAAGAAGCTAGGGAATTGGGGGATATGGACATAGAGTGATCATGTTTATTCTCTTTCCAACAAAGGCCTGAATTAACAAACACAAAATGGCTCTGCTGTCAAGAAAAACACAGTGGGTAGATACACTTGAAAGTCACTTCTGAAAGAGACCTTGAAGAAGGGATGGAGAATGTTTGGGGTGGACAGAAACTCCTCCAAGAAAGACAATGAAAGACAACAAGTTAGGTCACGGTGGCT
This sequence comes from Homo sapiens, assembly GCF_000001405.40. NCBI lineage: Eukaryota > Metazoa > Chordata > Mammalia > Primates > Hominidae > Homo > Homo sapiens. The sequence goes on from NC_000002.12 coordinate 29,657,746, forward strand.
AAAGAGGAGACAATGATTTGTTGTCTGACTCTCCAGCTACGATGGGGCTGTAACTAATGAGGTTATTCTGGTTACAAAGGAAGCATTCAGCCCCTTAATGAAAAACTCTTTGGCAACTGGTGTTAGGGAAAGAAAAAACAAACCAGCAGCTTATTATTAGTTCCACAGCAAGTTAATTAATTTTTGCCAGTCACTTTGGGTCACTTGCTGGACTGAGCATCTGTCTCACTCAACTGAACAGCTGGAGGGATGGTGGGTGTCTCTGCGGGCCATGCATGTGTCCTGTTCCGGGAGGAGAAGGGAGAGCTAACTACAAGGCTGAAAAAACGTGAGCTTCCAGTGTTCATCTGCTCCTCTCCTGTCCACTGTCCACTCAAGCCAGGCCAAAGGATTGTAATTCCATGGGAAACAAAGGAAATGAAAATGCTTAAAATGAGTTTTTTTCTGCCTTTGTGTAGCACTCAAATGAGAGCAGTGTAATATGGTACAATGAGCACTATGTCAGCCTGCAGAAGTCCTAGCCCAGGCTCTAGGGCCTCCTCTCTCACTGATCAGCTTGGAGCTATGGTAAGGTGCCTTAACCTCTCTGGGCTTCTCTTACCTCACCTGAACTAACTACCTGCATGGAAAGCTGGGCTTCTCTTACCTCACCTGAACTAACTACCTGCATGGAAAGATGTTCATTTGGTATCCTTTCTAGCATTATGAAATTTGAGTTAATAAATATATCTTTTCTTGGAGACATGTCAACTACTTGCCAAATACCACCAAACAACACTTCCAGGAAGACAGCAGTGGCTAGGTGTAACCCTTATTCAGGGATGGGAGAGCAAGGGCTGCAAAAGTGCTCAAATAAAACACCCACACAGAGTTGACCTGGCTTCAGAAAATACTAGCATGATTTCTAAAGATGTGTAATATGCAAGTGTGACGAGTGCCATTTTATTTAGCATACATATTAATGCTAGTATATTTACTTTCTAGAGTGGATTAAGTGATACAAATTTTCTGAATTATGTGTGCTGCATAATATGTAATACACATATATAATATTTATTACATACTCACCCCTAGAATAGACCAAGATGCTCATAAACTACACTGAAGCAGGGACCATAAGTTTAATTCCCTCTTTGAGCCAGTTTAAGCTACTGTTTGGGTGCTGTGATTTTTAAATCACTTGCATTTAATTCAAAATTATGAAGTTTTCAGCAAAACGAAAAAATCAAATTGGGAGAGAGCTCATTATCTCAAGCAAACCCATGTATCTCACTGGGCTTTCAGAATTGTCCTCCCTCCCCTCCCCTTAAAGAGATGATGATGTTAAAGTCCTAGATTTAATGCTTAGCCAGTGCTCTAGAATTGTGGGTTTCCTCTCCTCCTGCCTCTCCCAGAACTAATATTCACTGTCAAGCCTGCTGCAGGTAGTTAAAAGGAGTGATAGGGATCCTCTAAACCCACTCAAACAAAAGCATTAGTGACTGATAGGGAGATTTGCAGTTCCACTGGGAACAATGCTACTTAATGAAATTAGCATTGCATTTATAGACAGTATTTAGGATCCCATGGTAAATCAGTAGGTGAGGCTTCCAGGAAGGCAAGTGCATACCACTGACATCACTACACCCA